>NC_000003.12:41525151-41828181 GCF_000001405.40 Homo sapiens
TGTAACTAAGCAGATGAAAGATATGTGAGAGGCATTAACTCTCTCATATTTCTCACATAGCACCTCAGTAAGGCTAAAATCCTCATGCATGGTGAGAAAGGGAAGCAGGACAGCAAGGAACACTATGACTATTAATCTTTAGCATTACCCGTTCCTAAAGAGTCTAAAACAAGTTTTAATTTCTTAATTGAATAGCAAGAAAAAAAATATTTTGATGCACATGCTGAATGCTTTCTGTTTCTCTTCCTGATCGGCTCCCCATCCAACAGCCGACCTGTATGAATGGCATCAATGGACTCTCGTCTTCTGGTGCAGCCACAGGGAGCCACAGGCAGGAAATCAAAGGTCGGGACAAGAGTGAGGCCTAGTCTCCCTCCCAAAGGGCATAGTTCCTGTAAAACAGCCCTTTCCAGGCAGCTTTCACTCCAGATCCCATCATCGCTCCCTTACTGTGCCTTGCACATGACTAACTTTTTCTGCAGGAGCATCAAATACTCCTTTCCCTGTCCTTGATGGCTAATACTCTCACTGGAATATGTCATTTTGTATCTGTATTTCCTAGCATACAATGTGCCCTTTTTATCTGCACATTTATTTATGGAACATTGCTTTTCTATTTTTAACTCTTTCACCTGTCTGGTTCCCTTTCACTTCTTCTGTAAAAATACTAATCATGCTTATGATGTAGCTCCTTTGTCAATGACATCTCCGTCATTGTCTCTATGCACAGTTTAAATCACTGTTTCATTTCCTGTCATTTTGTGTGACTACCTAAAGCCTATCTGCCACCTCCCTGAGGATGCTTTCAGTTGTGCTTATTTGGTCTTTTGCAGCTTCTAGTGTGGCTCTCATCTTGGTGATCTATAATGTCCAGTGATATTAACATTCCCTACTTCCATGTCTTCCTAAGCTCCCCAGTTTGCTCCTTATCTCCTTCTCTGTCTCACACTTCCTTTGTGCTCCTGAACCTCTCATTGAACTCTTTTTTTCTAGAGTGAGTGTGTTTGCATCTCTTACAGACTATGTATGATTCGTCTTCTTTTTCTCTTATATTATTTGTCCTTTCTCTGCCTTTTGTATAAGTTTCTTCCCTCCAGTTTTTATGTACAGGTTCCTTCCTGATTGTTACTCATCTTTGAAAAAGAACAGGTACCTGCTGAAGAAGTGTGGAGAGGGACAGAGCCAGAGGTATGCATAGAATGAGATGGGGCCTCCATTTGTGCCTGTTACTTAAACACTCAAGAGACCCATGTGGCCACAGCTAAGGCAATTCAGCCATAAGGTCCTGTCTAGTTCTGCCTAATGTGCTTCCTGAGATCACTTTCTTAAGCTTAAAGGCAAGACCAGAGATGACAGAAATGGTCTATCAGCATGGTCTCTCCTGCAGCACTCAACTTCCCCTGGCTTCCCTAATGCCCTTGCAATTCTGAAGAGTTATCACCATAGGGACATCACTGCCTGGCTGCCCTGTATCTCAGTACTGTCACCAAAGACTTTTTAGATATGTCTTCCAGGACTGCAGCACTTGTTTGGGGGGTGGAGGGGAGATATATACTTTGTTTGAAATCTACAGAAGCATATACTGCCCATATTTCTAGAGAATTCACAATATTTGGCCAGTATCCTTCGAAGGCTTTGGCTTGGAGTGTTGTAGGGTTTTTTAAAAATTTCCTTGAAGATGGAATTGTGTTTCTGTTGTTTTACACAGGTGAGTATATGAGAGTAAAATAAAAGTGACATTTTTTTTTCTATTACTTTAACCAGGAACATTTGAGAAAGTCTAAAAATCAAATCTTCACTTCATCTACCAAGGAGTTATTGTTTACCAAGGAAGCTACCAGAATAGTAGTGAAAATAATAGCTATTATTTGTTAGAGTCCATTACATAAAGTGCTTTACATACATTATCTCATTTAACTCTTATGAACTTTGTAAAGAAGACTTAAGCTCTATTTTTATCGACAAGGAAACCAACTTCACAGCCCTCCTGTAAGGACAGAAGAGGGTAACATGTGTACAGCTTTGCACGTAGTGCCACACACAGGACATGCTCTACAGCTCGTTTCTCCTTCACACCTCAAGAGGGTTCAGCAGCTTGAGATTAAGAAGCAAATGCACAGAGCTGCCCAAGTACAAAGCATTACTGGGAGAAACAAGGGTAGAAATTCTGAGAATGTGAAAAATGTCACTAATATAGTAACTAATATTTCTGTGATGCTTACTATGTGTGGGACACTGGTCCAAATGCTTTACCCATATCAACTTGTTTAGATTTTGTCACAACTGTAAGACAATGGTGAGTGGGTATACTATTATTATCCTATCACATGGGAGAAAACTGAGGGACAGACACATTAAGTCACCAGTATAGGGCTAACGCCAGTGGCATATGCCAGAGCCAGGATTTTCGAAGTGTGGAAGTCTGGCTCCAGACTTTTGGTATCACCACAATGTAATGTTGTCCACCTAATTCTTTAATACTAAACACAGGTACGAACAGCTTTGGCTACTTAATAGCACCTTCCTATCTACTATTTCATTGTATCCTCACAATAATACCTTTTCATGAGTATAAAAAAATTTTCAAAAGCTGAATTTATTTATTGCAGATTTGTTATACTCTTCCAACCTGGATAATCACACTTTTCTTTTAGCACACATTTTAGGATTTCTAATAGCTTTTAAAGAACACATTTTATAATACTATAGTTTTGTGATATAGTTAGAACAGAATAGTTTTATAATATTTCCTTAAAGAAGATGAGAAGATAAAATTTGACCCTGGAGGACCATCAGAAAAGATAAAAAGTTTGACCCTCGAGAATTATAAATGTATGACACAGCTATGTGGTTAACCACATATAGGACAATTATCCACTACAGAACTGGGACTAAGAAAACAGATTATTTGAGTATGTATGAGATTCCATGTAGCCAATGGAATTTCAAATCTCTACATTTTTTGTTTTATGGAAGAAAAATTCAAATAGTATACTCCCTCATCGAGCAGGACACAGAAATAACCAGATAAGGCAGGAGACTGGCCATCACCTCTAGGTAGACTCACCCTGAAGAAGCACAAAGTGACAGACAATTCAAGCTGGAAATCACTTTTTACTCCTACACTGAAATATTCTCCCAATTCCTGCCTTCTCAAGTCAATGTATTTTATGGTTTTCCGTTAGAACCTAAATCTAATTATATACTTGAATTCATCAATAGAAATGTATAGAAACAGACATTTATATATAAGGAATTCATTTTGTAGCCTACTTGTAAGATAATGTTTTGGGAACTATAGCATCTTTTCGGAAGGGGATCTCAAAAGCCTCAAAAAATTTATTTACCTGCCGAGTACCTAGATGAGTCAAGTATTATTATGGCCACTTTACAATCAGGAAACCAAGTAAATGAAAAGTACTGGCTTTTCCACTGATTCATTAAGCACAGTAAATTGTTGGTTAGCATTAATATGAACATCAAGACCAGAGATGAAAGATATGCTTTGTAGCACTATAAGCCAAAAGAAAACCTTGCCTATTACATGATTCCACTAAGGATCTCATGATTCCATTCAGAGATAACACTGTCATGTATATATCGAGTTCAATAGAGGATTTTCCAGTTACCCAGTTTTGTCTTGTTTTTACCCACAGCATTGAAAAATAAAACTGCAGTGTGTTGTTGTCCAAGAAAGAAGGCATATCCTTACATAACTATTAAGTACTGGGCTTAATACCTGGGTGATGAAATAACATGTACAACAAACCCCCGTGACACATGTCTGCCTATGTAGCGAGCCTTCACATGTACCTCCAAACCTAAAATAAAAGTTAACAAAAAGATTCCTTGTTGTTGCCAAGCTTTAACTCAACTTTATCTTTAAGTATTAGCTTAGCAGAGAAGAGTTCCCAAAGCGCATCTTGAGAGAAAGAAGAGCCAACTTGGCATACACTTCATACTATTCTTAAAGTTTGGTAACATTACCTTAATGAGTAACTTCATGTCAAATTCAAGCAATGCCCATTTTGTGTAATTAAAGTTCAATTTTTTGGAGGGAGCATTCTTCCTTATATTCACACATTTCCATGATTCATTAAAACGAGAAAAATTTCTAAAAGTTGGAGCAAAACTCCTAAATTAAACTTACTCTTCAATATCATTAGAATTTGCTTCAGTCAAACCTTCATGTAGACATGTTTAAATACTCTTTGAAGCAAATAGGGGCGATTTGTTAATGCAAAGTTTTAGCAATATCAAGGTAGTAAGAAATAAGGCAAGTTTAAACACCTGATGAAAATAAGCCCATTATCTGAACATATAAGAGCTTCTTGAGTACTGATTTGTTGTTGAGGCAGGGTGTCATTCTGTCACCCAGGCTGGAGTGCAGTGGCACAATCTCGGCTCACTGCAACCTCTGCCTCCCAGGTCCAAGCAATTCTTGTGCCTCAGTCTCCCATGTAGCTGGGACTACAGGTGTGCAACACCCTGCCCGGCTTTTTCTTTTTCCCCCATATTTTTAGTAGAGGCAGGGTTTCGCCATGTTGGTCAGGCTGGTCTCGAACTCCTGGCCTCAAGCAATCCACCTGCCTCAGCCTCCCAAAGTGCTGGGACTAGAGGCATGAGCCACCACGCCCAGCCAGGTACTGATATTTTAAATTAGATTATTTTTGCCTTTTCTATTAACATTAAAATTTATACATAAATGTGAAGTGAAAGAAGCCAGACACAAAGACCAGGTATTGTATGATTCCATCTATATAAAATATCCTGAATAGGCAAATCCATAGAGATTAGTGGTTGCCAGCAACTGGGAAAGGAGTGAATGAAGAGTGCCTGCTAAGGGGGTACATGGGATTTTTTGCAGAGATGAAAATATTCTGGAATTACATAGTGAAAATAGTTGCACAACCTCGTGAATATACTAAAAAATATACTGAATTATGTACTTTCAAAATGATGGATTTTACGATATGTGAAGTATATCTCAATAAGAAACTATACGTTAAACAAATGAAATTTCACTAAACACAGAAGTGTAAAATATTTTCTAATGAAATATGTTTTTTCTAGATTACCTTAAAAAACTTAAAACTATGAACCCTTAAAATCACCACAACTCTAAGGAAGGGGGACACAGAAACTGCTATTAGAACACATTCAAAAAGATAGGGTTCAGAAAACTGAGACGAAATGTCCGGGACCATCAAGGAAATTAAGTCAAGGCAGTCAGGGAGTTGCACTGGGCCCTTATGTCATGAAAGACTAAAATGATTATTTTGGTGGTATTGACTATGGACATTGAGTGCATTTAAGGATTAGTAGGACTTCATCTAGAACCAAACAGAACTGTACTAGAACCCAACTTTATTGGTCCATTGGAGCTACCCCCGCCTAAACTGACCCAACGCTGGCAATTTGTTAATGTAATGTCACAGCCCAGCCTACAGCTGAGTTCTCTGCCAACCTACAGACAAGAGTCAATATAACAGATAATTTTTGCTTCATTTCACTGAGTTATGGTGGTTTGTAATTCAACAACAGCTGACCAACTTGAAAAACAACTAGAATAACTGAATACATTCTCCTCAATAATGAAGTAAAATGAATTTTTATTTATTTATATTTTTGGAGACGGAGTCTCGCTCTGTTGCCAGGCTGGAGTGCAGTGGCATGATCTCGGCTCACTGCAACCTCCACCTCCTGGGTTCAAGTGATTCGCCTGCCTCAGCCTCCCGAGGAGCTGGGACTACAGGTGCACGCCACCAAGCCCAGCTAATTTTTGTATTTTTAGTAGAGACGGGGTTTCACCACGTTGGCCAAGATGGTCTCGATCTCTTGACCTCGTGATCTGCCCGCCTCGGCCTCCCAAAGTGCTGGGATTACAGGCATGAGCCACCGCGCCCGGCCCAAAATGAATGTTAATATCAAGGAATGCCCAGTGTTTTGGCAGATACTGTAACAGGGGATAGTTATGATACACAGTAGTAAAGAAATAAATATGTTTTGGGCCGGGCGCGGTGGCTCAGGCCTGTAATCCCAGCACTTTAGGAGGCCGAGGCAGGCAGATCACAAGTCAGGAGATCAAGACTATCCTGGCTAACATGGTGAAACCCTGTCTCTACTAAAAATACAAAAAATTAGCCAGGTATGGTGGTGGGCGCCAGTAGTCCCAGCTACCCGGGAAGCTGAGGCAGGAGAATGGCGTGAACCTGGGAGGCAGAGCTTGCAGTGAGCCGAGATCACTCCACTGTACTCCAGCCTAGGTGACAGAGCAAGACTCCGTCTCAAAAAGAGGGGAGGGGAGGGGAGGGGAGGGGAGAGGAGGGGAGAGGAGAGGAGAGAAGAAGAAAAAGAAAAGAAAAAGAAAAAGAAAAAAAAAAGAAATAAACATCCTTCTCATCAACAGTTAGCTGCAAAAAAAAATATTTCTAGCATCTTAAATGTAAGATATTACAAAAGACCAAGTGTGGTATTACTATAATTTAAACTTTACTTGCATATAATACTGTAAGGTGTTTTATTCCTCCTATAGGTAAACCAAAACAACAAATATTGTTTAAGTAGTTTCAAAGAGGAAAACCAGAGTCAAATAGAGTAGAAATTACAGAGAAGAAATTTCAGTTCAGTAGAAAGAAACACTTTGTAACAATTAGAATTTTTCAAAGGTGGAGTATGCTGCCTTGTAGGAAAAAGGATTTTCTAACCCCAGATAGATTCTCACAGTAATCTCTCAAGATGATAGAATACAAGAGATTCCAGTCTAATGGGAGCTGAGTCTAGTACAATGGTTTTCTAACCTAGATTATGATTATAGCTTCACCTGGGAAGCTTCTAGGCACTCCCCTGAATCTGCTTCCCAAACCACCGGTCTAATCTATACAAGTTAGCCAACCAAGACAGACAGGTAGACAGTCACAAGTTCCCAAATGATTTTAATGCTTTCAAATAGGTTTTGACAAAAATGCACCTGTGTACTCCGACCGCATCAACAAGCTCTGCTGATTTTTCTTACTGCTCTTCCCAGCATTTAATCTACTGCAACCACACATTCTACAGGCTATTCCACTGATATGCCAGGTGTGCGCCCACTCTGAGCTTTTGCACTTGCTGTTCTCTTCCCCTGGGTATCTGCATGGCTTGCTGCTTCACTGTCTCAAGCTTTTATTTAACAATCACCTTCACCATGAGGCTACCCAGTGAAGGACTTCAACCTCTACTCCCATCCAGATACGTCATATCCCCTTTCTTCATTTTATTTATTCTCAGTATTTATTAACTAACATCTAGCATCATCTAACAAACTTATCATCTTAATTTTGTTTGTTTTTTATTTTTTCCACAAAAATGTAAGCTCCATGAAGGCAGGGATTTTGGTCAGTTTTATTCATTGCTGTATTCTTTGCACATGGAACAATACCTACAAATATCTGTTCAATGACTTAATGAACTAGATCTGGGGTGGCAAACTCTAGATCTGGGATAAAGTTTTACTGGAACACAGTCACACATTCATTTATATATTGTCTACAGCTGTTTTTGTGCTACAAGAGTGGATTTAAATAGTTGTACCAGAGACTGTATGGCCCATAAAGCTTAAAATATTTCTTGTCGAGACTTTTACAGAATAAAATTTGCCAATCCCTGAACTAGATGCACCAATCAGAATGTCATGTAGAGTTCCGATTCCAAACTTCTAGGTAACTGTGGTAGATTAAAGATGGCCACAAATTACTGTCATTAAGAGCTAGAGTCTCTTTCTCCACCCCTTGAACCAATATGGCTTAGTGATTCTCTCAACCAATAAAATGTGATGAAATTAACATGAGATTTCCAAGCCTAGGCAGCAAGAGGCCTTGCAGCTTCCACTCAGGCCGTCTTCAAATACTGCCACCATGTTTAAAAACCTGAGCTAGCCTCCTTGAGTATAAGAGATCATGTAGAGAGAGAGGTCCACCCTCCCCATACTGAGGCTCCCAGTATGTGAGCAAGCCCAGCTGACACTGTGGAGCCCAGATCATGCTGCCAAAGCACACAACACACCACGGAGCCCAGACCATGCTGCCAAAGCACACAACAGTGAGCAAATATGTGTTATTTTAAGTCGCTTAGCTTTGGATGGTTTATTATGTAGGAGAAGTTATTTGACATAGTAAAATTTATTTATTATTTTTAGACTAAATCCTTAGATTTTCCCTTTTTCCTTCATACATCTCCATACTACTGTGGGAGCAGCAGCCTCAATCTCAAATTATTTACTCACATGTAATGTCCCTGTTACTTCAGTTAAATCACAATTTAATAACTAAATTTTATAAATATGTTGACGCGTGAAGATTTGAGAGTAGTTTGGGAAGCGTTTGAATTAGTTATTGGACAGAGGTTGGCAAGCCATGGCCTGTGGGCTACCCACCTAATTCTGTAAATAAAATTTTATCAACACCAGTTATGGCCATTCTTTCACAGATTCTCTATGGCTCATCACCATGCTATGTTGGCAGAATTAAGTAGCAGCAACAAAAGCAATATGGCCCACAAGTCTTAAATATATATACTATCTGGTGTTCTGCAGGAAAAGTTCGTCAGCCCCTGCTGTACAAAATTATTTTGAATGTTATTCTTAAAAGTAAAGAAATAGAAGAGAGCTAGAAAGTACACTTTCTTTTTGTTTTTTGAGATGGAGTCTCGCTCTTTCGCCCAGGCCGGACTGCAGTGGCGCGATCTTGGCTCACTGCAAGCTCCGCCTCCTGGGTTCACGCCATTCTCCTGCCTCAGCCTCCTGAGTAGCTGGGATTACAGGCGCCCGCCACCACGCCCGGCTAATTTTTTGTATTTTTAGTAGAGACGGGGTTTCACCGTGTTAGCCAAGATGGTCTCGATCTCCTGACTCATGATCCAACCGCCTCGGCCTCCCAAAGTGCTGGGATTACAGGCGTGAGCCACCTTGCTCGGCCGAAAGTACACTTTCTTTATTCTTAGAGCCCAAACAATCCTTATAGTGATTTTCTGGTCCTTGAGTAAATACCAACTCAAACAGTTTAATAAAAAACCTAATAAGAAATGAGTAGTTTGATTTCTGACACTCCATAAACCAATGGAGACAAATATAACTTCTTTAAATGCTTCTTTGGCGGTGCCACAGTTTTTTACTGTTGCAGTGTGTCATGTAAATCCATTATTCTGACAGTGCTGCTGGTAAAACCGAAGCTGGAATTAATATCCATTATTGAAAGGTCATTGCACAGGGATTAGCCAGCAGCCAGTCTTAAAATGTTAATAATGGATATTTTTCAAATATAAAGAAAAGGTCTTACTTTTTTTTATAATTCTCTAAATGTTTCATTTAAAAGAGAAAATGTTTAAGCAAAAAAAAAAAAAACTAAACTACATAATGCATTTACATGCTGATAACATCAGTAACTACACTTAACAGTATTTCTGTAGTTTGTGGCATGTCAACAGCCATGAACTGAGGCAACAGACACTGAACTGAGGTCCTTACTGATATTACCTACCATACTTCATTGACTCTAAGATGCCACTGATCATAAGGACCATAATTATTTTATATACTACTAAGAAAGAAAACATGCTAATTACAGTATGTTGCATATTTTATCACTTAGAACTACACCTTACACTCAATGCAAGTGCTCTTTGAGAATCTGATATGGTTTTTATCATATATTGCCTATATATGAGAAAAGTTAATTGACACAGTAAGGTTTATTATAATTTTTAGATTAAATCCTTGGAGACAGATATACATATGGCAATATATGAGAAAAACCATATCAAACTATATGTATGTGTATGTGTGTATATACATATACATACATATACACACACATAAGGGGAAAACGTAAGTTAATTGGTTAAGTCATTCTAAAAAGCTCTTCCCATTTGGAGCCTGAATCTTATTTTTCAACTAAGATTTATCAATGCTTGCCTTTTCCCACAACCTTTGTTTCATGAGGAGTACTGGTGCATAAGAGCACTGCCAAAGCACAGTCTCCTGAGGTCTCTGGGTTTTCTTCCAGGGTGTTCACACCCATTCTGCATGATTCAACATGTATGTTCTAGCAGCAATAATTATGTCGCAGCTATTACACGGAGAGCAGTGGCTGATGCACTGATTTCAGAAATTCCACAATATGAAGAAAAATAATGTGTACCTCAGAATTCAGCCTTATGACAACCTACCACTAACTCTTGGTGTGGGCTGAGGATGAAAGTCAGTTTGACAGTGGCTAACACAATGCAGTGATGAAGCACTTAAAGCAGAGAACAATCATTTCTACTCCTTTATGTACATTATTATAGTATCCATATTAGAAATAGTACTGTATGTTTGAAATAGGGAATTTAATACTGTATGAAATGCAATAAATATATAAACCAATGATTGAGGCAGAATTGATCAAAAGCAAAGATTTACAGTAGACTTCATTCAGACCACATATACTCAATGCCCACACAGTGGCAGGTGATCTGAGACTCCTCATGTGGTCGTGCTTCATGAATCTACACACACTATGGGTTTGCAAACGCACATAACATCTTTAACCAATTTTGGAAAAGTAAGCTCACACACTTAGCAGCCATACCTGGGTGCTCATTTCTATAGAGTGGACTCAGACAGTTCAAGCCACATGGGCATCCCCTCTGCTCTAACATCCACCAGCTGGGGCCAGGATAGAGTTTCTGACCTCAATGTACTCCTGCCTAGGAAGCCCCATACCCTTCCTTGCCCCACCAGATTCACAGTCTGAACATCCTCCTTAGCCTTAAGACCATCTGGACTCATCATATGTCTCTACTCATGCTGCAGCAAGAAGCTCAGGATTCTCAGATCATCCCCCTCTTCCCCTGCAGTCTAAACAGCAAGAGGATTTGCACATCTCTTTCAGATGCCACATCCCACCCACTCCAGCTCCTGAAGAACCCTTCTACTGTGACTTTTGGAGCTCACAGTCAGTTATCAGCAAAATCCCTCAGATTGTCAACCTCTTTTCTATATATGTTCCTTTTACCTTCCCAGTCTATCTGAAACTGCCTCTCTTAGTGCTTTGTATCCTCTGCAGGATACAAAGTGATGAGTGATGAGTATTTCTCAATGAGATATGATGAGTATTTCTTCTCACATTCTGCTTTCATTGCTGGGCCTTGGTGATGTTGCCTTGTTTCACATTTCTGTTACTAGACTAGGAACTGACAAACATTTTCTTAAAACGCAATACAGTAAATACAGTTGACCCATGAAAAATGCAGGCGTTAAAGATGCCAACTGCCCTCCACACCCCCCAGTTAAAAATCCACTTACAACTTTTGACTCCCCCAAAACTTAACTACTAATATCCTATTGTTGACTGGGAATCTTACTGATAACGTAAATAGTTAACACATTGTGGGTTGATTTTGCACGTATTATGTATTATTAACTGTATTCTTATAACAAAGTAAGCTAGAGAAAAGAAAATGTTATCAAGAATATCACAAGGAAAAGAAAATACATTTACTAATAAGTGTAAGTGGATCATCATAAAGGTCTTCATCTTCCATGCCTTCTGAGTAGGCTGAGGAGGAAGAGGAGGGGTTGGTCTTTCTGTCTCAGGGTGGCAGAGGCTGACAAGGTGGAAGAGGTGGAAGGGCAAACAGGAGAGGCAGGCACACTCAGTGTAACTTTACAGAAATACATCATAATTTGTCTTTTTGTTTTTTTCATTTCTCTAAAAATGTTTCTAAACAGTACCAATCCTTCTTCCACCATTTGCTTTAGTTTCAGTGCCCATATAAAAATAAATCCATGTTGTAAAAGCAGTCAAAAGCAGTCTTGAGTAACTGGAACCCTACTGTCAGATTGTTTAATGTCAATTTGTTTGCTGACACTGCTTCTTCTACATCTTCTTCCTCATCATCTGCCAATGGTTCAGAAGCACTCATCTCCATCAAGGTGTCTTCTTTAAATTCCTCTGGTGTGGTGTCTATTAGCTCCTGAATCTGTCCACGATTCGTATCTTGAAACCCTTCACCCCCAACCATTTTTTTTTTGTTGCCATATCCACAGTCTCATGATTTCCTTGATTGCTCTGCTGTAAATCCCATGAAGTTATGCACTCTGGACATAGTTTTCTCCAGCAGGAATTTATTGTTTCAGGCTTGATAGCTTTTATGGCTTTTTCTACAACAGTGGCATCTTCAATGGTGTAATCCTCTCAGACTTTCATGATATCCTCTCTATTAGGGGTTCTTCCATAGAAAAACCATTTTCTTTCCACTTTCTTCAAAAATGTTGACATTTTCAAAGCCTTTTATTGAGTAAAAAGCCTGTAATGAGTCCTAAAAAGTCCTATGATCCATGATCTAGAGGCTGAATTACAGGCACTGTGTTTGGTGGCAAGTAGACCATGCTGATACCTTCAGTGTTTAACTCATGGGGTTCTGGTAGCCACAACCATTGTCCAATATCAAAAGAATTTTAAAAGGCAGTCCCTTAAATGCAAGATACTTACTAATTCCAGAAATAAAATATCATTGGGATCAATCCAGAAAAAGTGTTCTCATTGTCCAGGCTTTCTTGCTGTATAACCAAAAGACTGGCAGCTAGTGTTTCTTCCTTTCAAGGCTTAGGGGTTAGCAGTTTTATAAATAAGGCAAGTCCTGATCATAAAAGTAACAATATTTCCACAAAACAGAGTTAGCCTATCCCTTCCTGCCTTAAATGCTAGCACTCACTTCTCTTCCTTACTAATAAGGAATGTCCTTTGTGGCATTTTTTTTTTTTTCCAAAATAGGGCATTTTCACCGGCATTAAAAACCTGTTCAGGCAGATATGCTTTCTCATCAATGATTTTCTTAATGGTGCCTGGGAACTCATCTGCCGCCTCTTGGTCAGCAGTTCCTTCTCCTGTTTGTTACATTGACATTTTCAAAGCCAAACCTCTTTCTAAAAGTATCAAATCATCCTTTGCTGGCAGTAAATTCTCCAGCTTTAGATCCTTCATCTTTCTTTTGCTTTAATCAGTCATATAATGACTTTGCTTTTTCTATAATCATATTAGAGTCTAGAGATATAGCTTTCTTATGGTAATCTTGCACCAACATAAAAGATGCATCTTCAATGTGAGATTAAGGACTATATCACAAAAAGTTTTTATGCCTACTGGTGTAGCCACAGCAGCAGTGTCATGAATTTCCCTTTTGTTTTTTTTCTACAATGGTCCTTACATTGGATTCATTTATCTTGAAATGGCAGGCAACAGCTGCAAACTTCAATCTACAATACTTATCAAACAATTCAACTTTTTGTTATTACGTCATGACTTTTCTCTGCTTCTTAGAAGCACTTTTAGCATCACTAGTGGCATTTCATATGGGTCCCAGGGTGCTATTTAAGGTTTACAGTATTACACTGAACACAATGAAAAATACACAAGAACCTTGAGAAATCACTTTTTACCATGATATGCAGCTTAAGAGAGAACTGCTCATGGGGAGATGATTAACATCACAAGGTATTTTAAATAGATCTCACAACACTTCAGCCCACCACAAATGGAGCAGGAGGTAGCTACAAAATTATTATAGTAGTAAAGTATCACAGTTAATTTTATGCAGTTATGATTTAATACTGCATTTTTACATTTGTTTATATTTCTCCCCATAAATGTCCTTTGTGGCATTTATGGAGAAAATGATGCTGTGTATGGTCTATAAGCATGTGTATGCATGAGTTTTGATAAATTTCAACTTTTTATCTATTTTTTATATATTTTATTTAAGATAGATACAAATTTTAGATTTGTACATATTTTATGGTAGTCAATGAAAAAACAGACTAGTATGGACATATATTTTATGCTTTCATAACAATCTTTTTCTTAGTTTTTTTTTTTTTTTTAGTATTTCTAGGCTATATGGTTTGTCTGTGAGTTTTTACAAATTCTCATAAATCTCCTAAAATTCATCTGACATATTTATAGAAACAAATCCACATATAAGTGGAATCATGCAGTTCAAACCATGTTGTTCAAGGGTCAACTGTATTTTAAGCTTTGTGTGCCATGCAGCCTTCATTTCAACTATTTAATATTGCCATTATAGCATAAAACCAGCGATAATCAATACACAAATGAATGGACATGTCTATGTTCCAAGAAAACTGTATTTGTAAAAAGCAGCAGCCGACAGCAGGCTACATTTACTGAATCTCCGATCACTACTCTGTACCACCTACTTGCTCTCCCCAACTTGCCATCATCCTCAGACTATGAAATCCCTCCACCTTATTTTCTGAAGCTCACTGTTACCCTACTACTCTCCAACACTACTACCATAATCATTTGTGTGGTTTCTACTTCACTCTATAAAATCTAGAATGTGTCCAGGTTTTGTGAAAACTGAAGCATATACAGTTGGGGAACAGGGATAGACTATAGGAAAAAAATTAAATTATGAATGTTAAATTGCCCCTGTGTAAGTAAGGACCCTGACAATTATAGCTTCATTGGCTTCATGGTAAATCCACCTATAGTATTTCAGAACTCTGACTCTAACCACTGAAAACAAAACTTCAGTAGCTACTTACATCACATTACAGACAAATCCTTCCATGCCTCACCTCTCAACTGCTTAAGCTCCTGTCCTCTGGGACTTTTGTCCTCCATCCCACCTCAGTCACATAATCCCATGCTTTCATGAGCCAGGAGATGGAAACCTCTGTCATCTCACTTTTAGGCATCTGACTCCTCATCCACTATCTCAGCCAGTCAATAGGGCTACTAAGAATCTTAAAGGCATTGTTCCACAGTATCCCAATTGTCAGCCAAAGTTAGAGGAGAATATTTTGAAGAAATTTAAGGGTAGGATTTTTGTTTAATGGAATGAAAATAAGTAATTTACAGAAAACAGTGTTTTTTATTTATTATTATTATTATACTTTAAGTTCTGGGGTACAAGTGCAGAATGTGCAGGTTTGTTACATTTGCCATGGTGGTTCACTGCACCCATCAACCCGTCATCTACATTAGGTATTTCTCCTAATGCTCTCCCTCCCCTATTCCCCATCCCCCAATAGGCCCCAGTGTGTGATGCGTTCGCATTGTTCAACTCCCATTTATGAGTGAGAACATGTGGTGTTTGGTTTCTGTTCTTGTGATAGTTTGCAGAGAACGATGGCATCCAGCTTAGTCCATGTCCCTCCAAAGGACATGAACTCATTCTTTTTTATGGCTGCATAGTATTCTATAGTGTATATGTGCCACATTTTCTTTATCCATTCCATCACTGATGGGCATTTGGGTTGATTCTAAGTCTTTGCTATTGTGGATAGTGCCACAATAAACATACGTGTGCATGTGTCTTTATAGAAGAATGATTTATAATCCTTTGGGTATATACCCAGTAATGGGATCGCTGGGTCAAATGGTATTTCTAGTTCTAGATCCTTAAGGAATCACCACACTGTCCTCCACAATGGTTGAACTAATTTACACTCCCACCAACAGTGTAAAAGTGTTCCTATTTCTCCACATCCTCTCTAGCATCTGTTGTTTCCTGACTTTTTAATGATCACCATTCTAACTGGTGTAAGATGGTATCTCATTGTGGTTTTGATTTGCAGTTCTCTATGACCAGTAAGATAAGCTTTTTTCATATGTTTGTTGGCTGCATAAATGTCTTCTTTTGAGAAGTGTCTGTTCCTATCATTTGCCCACATTTTGATGGGGTTGTTTTTTTCTTGTAAATTTGCTAAGTTCTTTGTAGATTCTGGATATTATCCCTTTGTCAGACAGATAGAGTGCAAAAATTTTCTCCCATTCTGTAGGTTGCCTGTTCACTCTGATGGTCTCTTTTGGTGTGTGCAGAAGCTCTTTAGTTTAATTACATCCCATTTGTCAATTTTCGCTTTTGTTGCCATTGCTTTTGGTATTTTAGTCATGAAGTCTTTGCCCATGCCTATGTCCTGAATGGTATTGCTCAGGTTTTCTTCTAGGGTTTTTATGGTTTTATCTTACATTGAAGTCTTTAATCCATCCTGAATCAACTTTTGTATAAGGTGTAAGGAAGGGGTCCAGTTTCAGTTTTCTGCATATGGCCAGCCAGTTTTCCCAACACCATTTATTAAGTAGGGAATCCTTTCCCCATTGCTTGTTTTTGTCAGGTTTGTCAAAGATCAGATGGTTGTAGATGTGTGGTGTTATTTCTGAGGCGTCCGTTCTGTTCCATTGGTCTATATACCTGTTTTGGTACCAATACCATGCTGTTTTTGTTACTGTAGCCTTGTAGCATAGTTTGAAGTCAGGTAGCATAATGCCTCCAGCTTTGTTCTTTTTGCTTAGGATTGTCTTGGCTATGTGGGCTCTTTTCTGGTCCCGTATGAAATTTAAAGTAGTTTGTTCCAATTTTGTGAAAAAAGTCAATGGTAGCTTGATGGGGATAGCATTGAATTTACAAATTACTTTGGGAAGTATGGCCATTTTCATGATATTGATTCTTCCTATCCATGAGCATGGAATGTTTTTCCATTTGTTCGTGCCCTCTCTCACCACCTTGAGCAGTGGTTTGTAGTTCTCCTTGAAGAGGACCTTCACATCCCTTGCAAGCTGGATTCCTAGGTATTTTATTCTCTTTGTAGCAATTGTGAATGGGAGTTCGCTCATGATTTTGGCTGTTATTGGTGTACAGGAACACTTGTAATTTTTGCACATTGATTTTGTATCCTGAGACTTTGCTGAAGTTGCTTATCAGCTTAACTAGACTTTGGGCTGAGATTATAGGTTTTCTAAATATACTATCATGTCATCTGCAAACAGAGACAGTTTGACTTTCTCTTTTCCTATTTGAATACCCTTTATTTCTTTCTCTTGCCTGATTGTCCTGGCCAGAACTTCCAATATTATGTTGAATAGGAGTGGTGAGAGAGGGCATCCTTGTCTTGTGCTGGTTTTCAAAGGGAATGCTTCCAGTTTTTGCCCATTCAGTATGATATTGGCTGTGGGTTTGTCATAAACAGCTGTTATTATTTTGAGATACGTTCCTTCGATACCTCATTTATTGACAGTTTTTAGCATGAAGGGCTGTTGAATCTTCTTGAAGGCCTTTTCTGCATCTATTGAGATAATCATGTGGTTTTTGTCATTGGTTCTGTTTATGTGATGTATTACATTTATTACATTTATTGATTTGTGTATGTTGAACCAGCCTTGCATCCCAGGGATGAAGCCAACTTAATCGTGTTCGATAAGCTTTTTGATGTGCTGCTGGATTTGGTTTGCCAGTATTTTATTGAGGATTTTTGCATCGATGTTCATCTTTGGCCTGAAATTTTCTTTTTTTGTTTTGTCTTTGCCAGGTTTTGGTATCAGGATGATGCTGGCCTCATAAAATGAGTTAGGGAGGATTCTCTCTTTTTCTATTGTTTGGAACAATTTCAGAAGGAATGGTACAAGCTCCTCTTTGTACCTCTGGTGGAATTCGGCTGTGAATCCATCTGGTCCTGGACTTTTTTTGGTTGGGAGGCTATTAATTATTGCCTCAATTTCAGAACTTATTATTGGTCCATTCAGGGATTTGACTTCTTCCTGGTTTCGACTTGGGAGGTTGTATGTTTCCTGGAATTTATCCATTACTTCTAGATTTTCTAGTTTATTTGCATAGAGGTATTTCTAGTATTCTCTGATAGTATGAAAACAAAGTTTTTAACTGAATTGTATCATTAGATGCAACTCCAGCTTGATAGGGACAATTCTTTTCAGCATGCAAAGAGGTCTCAAGGTTCCCCAATCTTCTATGGACAGGAATCAGGCTGAGAAATCTACTCAACTACAATTATGAGCCATTCTTATGTAAAAGGAAGAAGGTTCAGAGAGCATAAAGAACAGCCACAGAGAAGCATTCCCAAGGAGCAGAATTTTGCCCAAAGCAAGTAATATTTTTCCCCTAGAACAAAGAGAACTTGCCCATCAAGTTTTCAGTGCTGCCATGGATCAGTGACTGCTAGGTGCCTTCTGTTTTTCTACTTTTTAAATGAAAGTGTCTATAGTGGTGCTTCTTTCTGTGTCTCATCATTATAGTACGGGAATGTGAGGGAGCAGATGATTTGTGTCCTCAGTTCACATGTCATCAAGATTGAAAGGAACAATATTCAAGGAGGTGCACCTGAGGATATGTACCCAAGGAGCCTCATGTATATATATATTTAATTTAGATGACAAGATCCTTGATTAGGAAGCCTGAAACTAATCCTGTAAGAAGATGAGATCTGGGAGGATATTAGAACAATGTTGTATTGTGTGTGGAAGAGACAGAATCATTAGGGGCTAGAGAACACACTGTAGTACCTGATCTCCAAATACAGTCCTCTGGGTTATCTTCTTGTATTTAATGAACTATGCCTGCTTGTAGTCACATCCTTTGTGGGATGTTTTTAATTACTAATCCAATCTCTGTTATAAGTCTCTTCATTTTTTCTATTTCTTATTCAGTCAGTTTTAACAGTTTGTCTTTCTAGAAATTTCATCTAAGTTATCTAATTTATTGGCATACATTTTTTCATAGTATGCCCTTATAATCCTTTTTATCTTTATGAGGTCAAAAGTGATGACTTATTTTCAAATTAGCTGACTCTTTTTTCTGCCAGTTCAAATCCATCATTGACCCCCTTTAGTGAATTGTTCATTTCAGTTATTCTACTGTTCAACTTCTGAATTTCCATTTGGTTCATTTTGATAATTTCTGTCTCTTTATATTATCTACTTGATGTGACATCATTTCCACACTTTCCTTTAATTCTTTAGACATGGTTTCCTGCAGTTCTTTGCACATACTTATAATAATTGATTTAAAATCTGCCTAGTAAATCCAACATATTGGTCCTTTCAGAAATAGTTTGCCTTGCTTTTTTCCTGTGTATAGGCCGTATTTTCCTAGTTTGGCTTTTTGACATGCTTTGTGATTTTTTGTTGAAAACTGAACATCTTGGATGATATAATGTGTCAACACTGGAAATCAGACCCTCCCACTGAGGATATTTTGTTATTGCTATTTTATTGTTGTTTGTTCAGTGACACTTTTGTGCTAATATTATAAAGTCTATATTCCCTGTAGAGTCTGGCCACAGAATGGTCCATTCATTTAGCTCAGTGGCCAGCTAACAACTGGCCAGACATTTCCTTAAATGCCTTAAATCAGTAAGTCTTCCACCCTTTGCCAAGG
This sequence comes from Homo sapiens, assembly GCF_000001405.40. Lineage (NCBI taxonomy): Eukaryota > Metazoa > Chordata > Mammalia > Primates > Hominidae > Homo > Homo sapiens. The sequence continues at coordinate 41,544,367 of NC_000003.12, forward strand.
GGCTGTTTATATGTGTTGGAGCATGCCTCCAAAATTTAGGCAATTTACAATTCTGCACAGGGCCTCAACATCAGCCAGAAGAGAGACTGGGTCCCCTTCAGGTCTTTCTTCATCATATGTATAGCCCTATGCATGCACACAGCCTTCTGTATTCCCCAGGAATAAATTAGGAGTTTTGCAAAGTCTCCAGTGGATATTTCCTTCCCTAAAACTTCTTTTAAGTTTCTTCACAAACTCTTCTTTGCTCCAGATGGTCTCTCAACTTCAAGCAGCTATGATGTTTAAAACTTGACAATGATTGTTTGCTATAAATGCCAGTACTATTGACTTTCCCCCTCAGATGAGCTCCATTTCAGGTCAAACAGTGACAATGACCTATGAGTAGGGTTTTTCCAGGGAGGTATGAGACAGGTCAAATTGTGGCAATGCTCTGGGAGTGAAATTTTTAGTCGGGGGTTCCAAATACAACTGGCCCATTTCAGATGCTTCAAGTCTACTTGACCTCTACAGTGTTTTTGAAGCTGCTAATTTTCAAGGCTACCATGCAGGTATGAAAGAGAGGACGGGGTCAGACTAAGTTACACTGCCACCAACTCACTGTTCTTACTGAGATTCATCAGTTTTTCTTGAATAAACACTCCTTGTATTGTTGCAAGCCTGTGGTAACTTGGTAATTTACGGAATTCTCAATGTTAACTTTCACAATTTACTCATTGTTTTTGTTGGTTTTATTGTGCGGCAGATTTGTGGAGGTCCTCAATTCACCTTTCTGGAAACCTACCTAGTCCGTTTTATTTTAGGTAATTACAGAGTAACAAAAAAAAGGTATTCTTTCATATTTAACCACATTCGCGTTCTCTCTTGTGCACTTCATTTCTTACGGCAAATTCGAGTTTGAGTTTTCATCTGGTATCTCTTCCTTTTAGCCTGAAAAACTTAATTTAGCATTTCCCTGCAGTGACAAATTTTCCTAGCTGTAATTTATCTCAAGTGTCCTTATTTCAACTTCATTTTAAAAGACACTTTCTGGAGATATAAAAATATAGATTGGCAACTTTATATTCTTTCGGCACTTTAAAGATGCTTTTCTGCTTCTCTGGCCTCCATTATTTCTGACAAGAGGTCAGCCACCATTTGTATTATTCATTACCCTTTATGTAATATATAATTTTTCTGTGAATATTTTTAAGATTTTACCTCCAATTTTTAGGAGTTTGACTATCGTGTGCTTAGGTGAATTTTGCTTGCTTTTTAATCTTCCAAGGGTTTTCTGACCTTTCTAAATATGTAGATAAATATGCTTTACCAAATTTGTGAAGATCTTGGCCATTACTTCTTTAAATTCTTTTTCTGCCCCATTCTCTCTCTTCTGTTTCTGGGATTCCAAGTACAAGTATATCAGAATCCTGGAAATTGTCCCATAGGCTTTTTCATTTTTTTAAATCTTTTCTTTCTCTGTCTCTCACATGGGAAAATTTCTATTAATCTTCTATGGTTTTTAATCTGCTGAAAAGCCCAGCCAGGTAATTTTTTTGTTTTAAGTACTGAACTTTGCAGTTTAAGACTTTTATATGGTTCTTCTTTATAGATTCATTACTCTGATGAGATTTTCTACCTCATCTCTTCACTTATAATCTTTACTTTTTGGCTTTGAATATATTTGTAATAGTTTTTTCAAAATTCTGACCTGTTAATTCCAACATCTGGGTAATATTGGGTTTTGTTTCAGCTGACATTTTATTATTATTATGGGTCACATTCTTCAAATTCTTTCTGTACCCCCTAAGTTTTGGTTTATGCTAGTCACTGTGAATAATATGTTGTGGGGAATCTGGATTATGCCACCTTCTTTTTAGTGCTACTGATTTTTGTTCTGGGCGGCAGTTAAATTCTTGGTGGCTCTTTTGACCCCAAAATGCTTAGTTTTATTCTGTTAGGACAGATCTATATTGATTTAATCCGTAGACCAAGGACTTAGCCCTTACTTTAGGACATGACCCATATTCTAAAGCAGGTCTGTAGTAGCCCTTAATTTCAGGCTAGTTTAGCTTTACTCAGGTGCATAGCAAGGACTGCCACTGTGGTGAGGCTGGGGTTCCAACATCTTTCATTACCATTCATCATCATGTCAGTTCAGCTCTCAGCCTTGCAACATGTACCCCACATCTGTGAGGCCTAACGTAATCTTGCTCTGTGAAAGTATAGCCCAGCCTTCACCAAAAACCTGTGGAAAACTCCGATGTAGGTTTCTGGGCCCTATTCCTCTATGAAACTCACTCCTCTCTTATACTCTGCCCTGTTAATCCTCACTAGCTCACATCCCTAAACACTGGTCTCTTCCTTCCCAAGCTCAACAAGACCTCTATTTCTACTTAGATTCTACTTTCCTCCCTAGGCCCTTAAAAAAAAAAAAAAAAAAAAAAAAGCCAGAGTGAACACAAGTTTCACCTCACGTGTTTCACTCCACTCAAGGACCACAGCCTTATTCTGTCTATGTTAAAAGATGTTTTCCTGCTCTTCTGGCCTCTGCTGATTTTGACAAGAGGTCAGCTATCATTTGTATTGCTTGCCCTCCTTGATGTAATTAGTAGTTTTTCTATGAATACGTTCAAAACATTATTTCCAGTTTTCAGGTTGCTTGAAAACAGTTGCTTCACATACTTTGTTGAGTTTTACTGTCACTGATAGTGGGAGGGCATGTTACTACCAGTCACTGTCATAAGAGAAAGCCAATATGCATACCTTCTCAGGAGCACATTATAAATCATGAAAATTGAACACAGAGTAGGTTCAAGGTAACATCAATAAATTTTAAAAAGTAGAAATGGTACTCCCAACATTTGCTGACCATAGTGCAGTAAAACTAGAAATATCTGGGAGGATTTCAAGATGGCTGACTAAAGGCACACATGTCGTCCAAAAGGAAGGACCAAAACAGTAAGGAGATAATCATGTGTTGATTACAGCATCTAAGAGAGAGCACTAGAATTCAGCAGGGAAGGGACAGGGAACATCTGAGGCACAGAAAGAGAAGTGAGGCAGCCACTGCCACCCAGCCAGGATCAACTTGGAGCCCAGAGAGGCTCTCCAGTATAGGGAAAGGATAAGAGATCCCAGTGGTCCACATTCCCACTGTGGACCCTTGCAAACCCTAGCCATGGGAGAGCTCCTTCACTCTTACAGGCCCTGAGACTAGTAGAGTGAGCTGCCTGGAGTCCAGGCAATGGCACCGCTCCAGACAGGGATTTCACACAGGGTCCCACGCATTCTCCCAAGACCCAAGTAGCTGCAGAATGGCATTCTGAGCACCCAGCTCCCACCATACTGCATTCTGCCCTGAGGCCCAATAGCCCCTAAATCTCTATGTCCCTGGAGTCCTGCTGACATCCCTCAGTATCCATCCAGAGGGTTGCAGCAATGCAATGCCAGCTGGAACCATAATGTGGCCAGTTTCCAGCAATCTAGCCCATGCGGTGTCCTACACCATGAAAACAAGCATTGCAGTGAGCCAGGGAGGCTGCTCTTGGGACAAACGGAGCCAAAACATGCACTCCTCAGAGACTGAGAGTGGCCTGCCTGCTGCCTGGGGATGCTGCCACCAACAGCAACCCTGTACTCACCCCTACCCCCACAGTAACAGGGCTATTGCATACTTGCAAGTGTGTTCAGTGGGCCTAGGGACCAGCCCTTTAGGATACCAACCCAGGACTTGAGGATGGGCTCATCTTGCCCGCTGCTGCTGCCACCTGAGCACACCATACAGGAACCTGGGGAATGCCTTGCTCCACCCACCATAGCCTGTGCCCATGTGCACCATTAGAAAGTCTGAGGAAGGCCCTGCTTCACCTGGTGTCACCTCTCTAGGTGTCCACACACATCTCCCAAGGGCCTGGGGGTCATTTCAATATGTCTGTTGCCCCAGACACACATACACATCAGGAGGCCTGACACAGGACCCAGCCTACCCCAATCCCCAGTGCCCGTACATTCTGCTTGGGGGCCTGGTGACTGGCCCACTCCACCTATCACCCTGAGCAAGCACATACACCATCAGAAACCCTGACAAAAGACATAGCCTACCTGCCACCAGCACCCAAGCACACTGTGTCAGGACCTGGTGATTATCCTGCCCTATCCACCCACACATGCCACATGGGGGCATGGAGACTGGCATGCGCAGAACATCATTACCACTGCTAGCATCAGCATACGCCACATGGGAGCCCAACAGTTGGCTCGCCACCACAATGCCATTGCAGATGCCATGTACACTACCCAGAGGCAAAATGACCCACCCACCCTCCCTGCCCACTACTGCCACCTCCAGGACCTGAGCAAGCCATCTTTAGGGCCATAAATTAACCCACCTACAGTCACTAATACTGGTGCCCACCTATACCATCCAGGGACCCAAAGACAGGCACCCTCAGGTCACTGCCGCCGCCACCACCACCAGTCTGGCCTGAGGAACAGCCTGGGTGGCATCTCCATCCCCCAGCAAAATATCACCATTGCCTCCATTAACAACCATATCCTAAGCCACAGAGGAAATCACAGATACCACTGATGCTGACTGCAGCCAAAGAAATCATAAAGATACTACACTGCTGCATGAACCCTGAATCAAAGCTGAAGTGCCCTACTCAACCAACACTACAGATACATCTACAGGAAAAAAGTCTTCCCCTAAGAAACCCAATCTGAAAAATAGGAAGAAGTGCCTGTTACACAAGATGCATCGATATCAACATAAGGACATAAGAGAAATGAAAAGGCAAAGAAACATGACACCACCAAAGGAACACAATAATTGTCTAGTAACAGATCCCAACAAAACAGAAATCAAAGGTATTTGTGAAAAAGAATTGAAACTAATGATATTAAAGAGGCTCAGTGAAATATAAGACAATACAAATGAACAAAACAAATAGAAAAACAACTCATGATATCAATGAGAATTTCAACAAAGAGACAGCTGTCATTAAGTAGGACCAAACAGAAAATCTGGAACTGAAGAATTAAATGAATGGAATAAAAATTCAATCAATAACTTCAATAATAGACCATATAAAGCAGAAGACAGAATTTTAGAAATTGAAGAAAGGTCTTGAAATAACCCAGTCAGATAAAAAATAATAAAAATTTAAAAAATCAAAAAAGCTTCTCTGATATATCAGACACCATAAAGAGAGCAAATATTCAAATTTTGGGTGTTCTAGAAGTAGAAGAGATAGGCAACAGCATAGAAAAATCTATGTAATAAAATAATAGCTGAAAAATTCCTAAGTCTTGCAAGATCTTTAGACTCCAGAAATAGGAAGCTCAAATATTGCCAATCAGATACAACCCAAAAAGGTCTTCTCTAAGGCACATTATAGTCAAACCGTCAAAAGTCAAAGAAAAAGAAAGAATTCTAAAAACAGTAAGAAAAAAAAGTGTCAAGTCACATATAAGGAAATGACCATCAGGCTAACTGGATCTCTCAGCAGAAAGTCTAGAGGTCAGGAGACAATTGGATGATATATTTGAAGTGCTAAGAAAAAAAAAGAAAACAACAACAAAAACCCTGTGAGCTAAGAACACTATGTCTAGCAAACCTATCCTTCAAAATGTAAGACAAATAAAATCTTTAGCAGACAAACACAAACTAAGAGAGCTCATCACCACTAGGCCAGTCACACAAAAAATGCTTAAAGGAATCCTACATATGAGAGGGAAAGGACAATATTTACCATCACAAAAGTATAAAACCTACTGGTAGAGCAAACAAAAATGAGAAGCAGAAAAAATTCAAATGCAAGCATAACATAAAGCCTAAGTAGTTATTAACTACGGTAAACAATAAAAGAGAAAGAAAGAAACAAAAGATATGCAAAACAACCAGAAGATAAATTAAAAAATGACTGAAATAAGTCCTTACCTATCAATAATAACCTTGAATATAAATGGATTAAACTCCCCACTTAAAAGGTATAGACTAGCTGAGTGAATTTTAAAAACCATGAAGCATCTTGCTGCCTACAAGAAATATATTTCACCTCTAAACATACACATAAACTTAAAGGTATGGAAAAATATATCTCACGTGAACAAAAACCAAAAGCAAGCAAAAGTAGCTACATTTATATAAGATAAAATACACTCAAAAACATTACAGTCAAAACACGAAAAAGAAACAAGATCATTACATAACAATAAAGGAATCAATTCAGCAAGAGGATATAACAATTCTAAATGTTTATGTACCCAATGCCACAGAACCCAGGTATATAAAGTATTAGATCTAAGGGGAGAGATTTTAATAGATGTTAATACAATAGTTGGGGATTTTGACATAACACTCTTATTAGACAGATAATCGAGACAGAAAAATCAACAACAAAACACTGTATTTAAACTGTATTTTAGATCATATGGACCTAACATACATTTGCGGAACATTTAATCCAACAACTGCAGAATATATGTTCTTCTCATCAGCACATTAAACATTCTCCAGGATAGACAATGTTAGGCCACAAAACAAGTCTCAACAAATTTTTAAAAATCAAAATCATATCAACTATTTTCTCAGAACATAATGGAGTAAAACTAGAAATCAATACCATAAAGAATGCTGGAAACTATACAAATACATGGAAACAAATTTGCTCCTGAATGACCACTGGTTCAGTGAAGAAATCAGGAAACAAAAAAACAAAAAAAAAGTTACTGAAACAAATGATAATTGAAATACAACACACCAAAACATATGGGATACAACAAAAGCAGTGCTAAGAGGGAAGTTTATAGCAATAACACATCTACATTAAAAAGTAGAAAGATTTCACATAAACAATCTAAAAACATACCTAAAGAAACCAGAAAAGAACAAACCAAAACCAAAATTAGTAGCAGGAAATAATAAAGATCAGATTAGAACTAAAAAGAAAAAGAGAGAGGCAAAAAAGTATAAAGGATCAACAAAAGGAAAAGTTTGGTTTTTTTGAAAAAATAAAATAAAAAACCACTAGCAACACTAAACAAGAAAAAAAGGAAGAAGATCCAAATAAAATCAGAAATGAAAAAGGAAACATTACTGCTGCTATAGAAATACAAAAGATCATCAGAGACGATTATGAGCAGCTATACACTAACAACCTGGAAAACCTAGAGAAAATAGACAAATTCCTAGGCATATACAACTGCCAAGATTGAATCAGGAAAAACAGAAAACCTAAATAGACCAATAATGAGTAATGAGATTGAATCAATAATAATAATAAATCTTCCAGCAAAGAAAAGTCCAGGACCAGATCACTTCACTGCCCAATTCTACCAAACTTTCAAAGAAGAATTAATACCAATTCTCCACCAAATATTGCAAAGAAATAAAAAGAAGATAATTACCCCCAACTCATTCTACAAGGCCAGCATTACCAAATCCAGATAAGAACACAACTACAAAAAAACCCTACAGGCCAAGAGCCCTGATGAACAGAGACACAAAAATCTTCAACAAAACACTAGCAAAAAGAATCCAACAGAACATCAAAAAGATAATGCACTGTGACCAGGTGGGATTTATTCCAGGGACACAAGGATGGTTCAACATATGCAAATCAATAAATGTGATACATCATCTCACAGAATGAAGGATAAAAAACGTGATCATCTCAAAGAATGCAGAAAAGGTATTAACACGGTTCAATATCTCTTCATGATAAAAACTCTCAACAAACTAGGCACTGAAGGAATATACCTCAGTATATAGTAATAAAGGCCAAATATGACAAACAGCTAACATCATGCTGTATGGTGGAAAACTGAAAGCCTTTCCTCTAAGAACTGGAACAAGATAAGGATGCCCACTTTCACCACTCCTATACAACATAAAATTGGAAATCCTAGCCAGAGCAATCAAGCAAGAGAAAGAAATAAAAAGCATCCAAACAGGAAAAGAGGAAGTCGAATTGTCCCTCTTTGCTAATGATATAATCTTATATCTAAAAATAACTAAACACTCCAACCAAAAACCTCTTGGATCTGATAAATTTAGTAAAGTAGAATGCAAAAATCACCACATAAAAATCAGTAGTCTTTTTATACACTAATAATAAACTAGCTGAGGAAAAAAATCAAGAAGGCAAACCCATTTTCAACAGCTTAAAAAACTACCTAGGAATAAATTTAACCAAGGAGGTAAAATACCTCTAAAAGGAAAACTTCAAAACATAAGAAACTGAAGAGGACAAAAATAAATAGAAAAATATCCTATGCTCATGGGTTAGAAGAATTAATATTGTTAAAATGATCATACTGCCCAAAAGCTATATTGAGTCATAGCAATTCCTATCAAAGTACTGATGCTATTTTTTACAGAAATAGAAAAAAAAAATCCTTAAATTCATATGGAACCCAAAAAGAGCCCAAATAGCCAAAGCAATCTGGAGAAAAATAAAAACAACAGAAAAGGTTGGAGGCATCATACTACCTGACTTCAAAACACATTACAAGGCTATGTAACCAAAACAACATGGTATTGGTATAAAATCAGACATATAGATCAATGGAGCAGAACTGAGATCCCAGATATAAATTCATGTATTCACAGCCAACTGATTTTCAACAATGATGCCAAAAACATACAATGGAGATAGGGCTCCTTCTTCAATAAATGGTGCTGGGAAAATTGGATAGTTATATGCAGAAGAATAAAACTCAACTGTTACCTCTCACCTCATACAAAAATCAACTCAGGATAGATCAAAGACTTAACCATAAGACCAGAAACCATAATATTACTAGAAAAAAATATAGAGATAATTCTTCAGGACATTGGTCTAGGCAAAGATTTTATGGCTAAGACATCAGAAGCACAGGCAACAAAAACAAAAATAGACAAATGGGACTATATTAAACTTAAAAGCTTCTGCATAGCAAAGAAAACAATCTACAGACTGAAGAGACCACTTTTTGAATGGGAGAAAGTATTTTCAAGCTATTCATCTGACAAGGAACTAATATCCAAAATATAAAAGGGACTCAACAAAACAATAATAATTCCATTAAAAAGTAGCCAAAGAATTAAAATAGACACTTCTCAAAAGAAGACATAAAACCGCCAACAGGTATATGACAAAATGCTTAACATCACTAATGATTAGGAAAATGCAAATCAAACCCACAATGAGATGCTATCTTTTTACTCCAGTTAGAATGGCTATTACCAAAAGGACAAAAAATAACAGATGCTGGAGAGGATGCAAAGAGGGAACTCTTATACACTGTTGTTAGGAATGTCAGTTAGTACAGCCATTATGAAAAATAAGAAGACTGCTTTTTTGTGTGTGAATACATAGTAGGTATATTTATTTATGGGGTACATAAGATATTTTGATATAGGCATGCAATGCATAATAACCACGTCAGAGTAAATGGGGCATCCATCCCATCAAGCATTTATCCTTTGTGTTATAAAAAATCGAATTATACTCTTTTAGTTATTTTTAAACATACAATTAAATTATTTTTTATTATAGCCACCCTGTTGTGCTAGCAAATACTAGGTCTTATTCATTCTTTCTAACTATTTTATTGGTAACCGTTAGCCATCCCCACTTCCCCCACCACCAAAACCCACTACCATTCCCAGCCTCTCGTAACCTTTATTCTATCTATCTCCATAAGTTCAATTGTTTTAATTTTTTGCTCCCTCAAATAACTGAGAACATGTGAAATTTGTCTTCCCATTCCTAGCTTATTTCACGTAACATAATAACCTGCAGTTCCACGGAAGTACCGTTTGATCCAGCAATCCCACTACTGGGTATTTATCCAAAGGAAAAGAAATCAGTATATCAAAAGGATACCTGCACCTCTTTGTTTACTGCAGCACTATTCACAATAGCCAAGACGTGGAATCAACCGAATAGTATTCTATCCATGTATAGATATCATATTCAGTCTACAGATGAATGGATAAAGATAACGTAATATCTATACATGATGGAATACTATTCAGCCATAAAAGAGAATGAAATCATATCATTTGCAGCAACATGGATGGAGGTGGAAGTCACCATGTTAAGTGAAATCAGCCAGGCACAGAAAGACAAGTATCAGATGTTCTCATTCATATGTGCAATCTAAAAAAGTTGATCTCATGTAGGTAGAAAGTAGGATGATAGTTACCAGAGGCTGGGAGGGTAAGTGTTGGTAGGCGGGAGTATACAGAGAGGTAGACTGATGGGTACAAACATATACCGAGATGGAAGGAATAAGTTCGGTGGTTGATATCACCATATGGTGCCTACAGTTAACAACAATATATTGTGTATTTCAAAGTAGGTAAAATAGAAGATTTGAAATGTTCCCAACACAAAGAAATGGGGTGATAAATATCCTAAATACCCTGATTTGATCATTACACATTCTATGTATCAAAATATCACAGGTACCCTATAAATGTGTACAAATATTATGCATCAATAAAAATACATTTTAAAAGTAGAAATAATAAAACAAAAAACCCTTTTCACCATAAAAATACCTTCATTTCAAAGCAACGCTAGACTCAGTGAGAGAACATACACCAAAACTGAAATATATATGGAAAAGAAAAATGATCAAAGCATGACAGATTAGAATTTCCGAGTAAGGTATACATAAGGTAATACTTGAAAATTCATGCATCAGAGTTAAGCATCATACTCAATGACCAAGAAAAAGAAGGACAAAACAAACTCATGAAGCACAAAGAATTAATAGGTAAAAACATAAATTGACTTTTGAAAAAAGTTAACACTAAGAAGTAAATCCCAAAACTGATTTGAAAAAAATACAAACACACACATTCTAGTAAAACTATGATCATAACTACTCAATAAAAATGCAAAAGTACAAATTTTTGCAAACTATGCATCTGACAAAGGCCTAATGTCCAGCATCTATAAAGAACTTAAACAAATGTACAAAAAAAAAAAGCAATCCCATTACAAAGTAGGCAAAGCAGGCAAAGGACATGAACAGATACTTTTAAAGGAAGACATACATGAAACCAACAAACATGAAAAATGCTTAACATCACTGATCATCAGAGAAATGCAAATCAAACCACAATGAAATACCATCTAACACCAGTCAGAATGGCCATTATTAAAAAGTCAAAAAATAAGAGATGCTAGCAAGGTTGTGGAGAAAAAGGAGCACTTATACACTGTTGGTGGGAGTGTAAATGAATTCAGCCATTGTGGAATACTGTGGTGATTCCTCAAAGACTCAAATATACACATGCCATTTGACCCAGCAATCCCATTACTGGGTAGACAACCAAAGGAATATAAATCATTCTATTATAAAGACACATGCACACTATGTTTACTGCAGCACTATTCACAATAGCTAAGACATGGAATCAATCTAAATGCCCATCAATGATAGCCTGGATAAAGAAAATGTGGTACATCATGGAATGCTATGCAGTCATCAAAACAAAACAAAACCAAAACAAGATCATTTCCTTTGCAGGGGGACATGGATGGAGCTGTAGGCTATTATCCTTAGCAAACTAACACAGGAACAGAAAACCAAATATGGTGTATTCTCACTTATAAGTAGGAGCTAAATGATGAGAATACTTGGACACATAGAAGAAAACAACACACACTGGGCCTTTCAGAGGGTGGAGGGTGGGAAGAGAAAGAGGATCAGGAAAAATAACTAATGAGTACTAGGCTTAATACCTGGCTGATGACATAATCTGTACAATAAACCCCCATGACACAAGTTTATTATCTACATAACAAACCTGCACTTGTATCCCTGAACTTAAAAGTTTTTAAAAAGCACAAATACATTATATAAGAAATGGTAATGGGGCAGTAACTTCTGAAATGTAGGAAAATAAAAGATTTATAAGAATTAGTTTTGTTCAACTCTGTGAAAACAGAATTGAAAGTGTGTAGGAAATAAGTGTTCCAGGAAAATATAATTTACAACTGACTCTAAAAGACATGGAAAATTTTTTTAAAGTTTCATTATTACTACAGAAATAGAGAAAATCATCACAGAGCTATCACTACTATCATACCACAAAAAGAGAACACCAGCCAGATGACTTCGCAAAGAAACTCTACCAAACTTTTTTTTTTTTTTTTTTTTGACAGAGTCTCGCTCTGTCGCCTAGGCTGGAGTGCAGTGGCACAATATTGGCTCACTGCAACCTCCACCTCCTGGGTTCAAGCGATTCTCTTGCCTCAGCCTCCCAAGGAGCTGGGACTACAGGCACGTGCCACCATGCCTGGCTAACTTTTTGTATTTTTAGTAGAGGCAGGGTTTCACTGTGTTAGCCAGGATGGTCTCCATCTGCTGACCTCGTAATCCGCCCACCTCAGCCTCCAAAAGTGCTGGGATTACAGGCATGACCCACTGTGCCCGGCCCAAACTTTTAAGGAGTAGATAATTCCAATGATAAATGAATTTTCGAGAAATACAGAAAGAGGAAAAAAAAATTTTAATGAAGCAATATAGCATTAATATTAAAATCTGGGCAAAGAATGTGTTTCTCCCATCAAAAATGAACAAACAAAATCACAGACCAATTACACCAATGAATGGCAATGAAAAATCCTAAATAAAATATTAACAAAGAACTAAAGTAGCACAATTAAAGAACTATGTATCATAACTGTGGTTACTGACTCAAACACTAGGATGGGTTCAATATTAGGTAACCAATTAAATATAATTCATTATATAAATAGATTCAAGGAAAAATCATTTGATCATTTCCATAGAAGCCAAAAAAGCATTTGACAAATGTCATTATTCCTGATTACAAAAGAAATAAAAATAAAATTAAAATAGAAGAGTACCTCCTTACCCAGAAAAAAAGATCCTCAGACAAATCCAAGACATCTACCCCACTCTATTTGAAACTTGTAAATAGACCAGAGGGGAAAAGTAGCATCATAAAAATTGGAAAGAAAACCATCATTATTTACAATTATTATATGACTGGGAAACTAAGAAAATCACCTAAAAACTATTAATATAAAAAAAGAATTAATATATGTACAAAATTGCATATACAGAAATCAAAAACTTTCAAACATATTTAAAACAACAGATTGCGGCCAGGCATGGTGGCTCACACCTGTAATACCAACCAGTGCTTTGGAAGTCCGAGGTGGAAAGATCATTTGAGGCCAGGAGTTTGAGACCACCCTGGTTAACATAGCAAGACCCTGTCTCCACCAAAAAAAAAAAAATTAGCCAGGCATGGTGGCACGCGCCTGTTGTCCTAGTTACTTGGGAGGCTGAAGTGGGAGATCACTTAAAGCCAGGAATTCAAAACTGCAATAAGCTCTGATTGTGTTACTGCACTCCAGCCTGGGTAACACAAGGAGACTCTGTCTCTAAAATAAAGTAAAATAAAATAAAATAATTTAAAAATAAATTGGAATATATAATGGTGGAAAAGTCCTCATTTCTATTGAATGCAAAAAAAGATACAACACTTAGGAAGACATAAACTTAACAAGAAATGCATAAGACCTATATAAAGAAAACTACAAAACATCTCTGAAGAACATAAAAATTTCTTGAACAAATGGGGAAGCAAAACATGCTCTTAGATCCAAAGACAAGCAATCTCACATGCTCTTGTGGAAATATAAATTGGCACATTACTTAGAGCAGCTTCTCAGTATCTACAAAACTTACTTATGCATATATCCTTTGAGCTAACAATTCCAATTCCAGGAATTTCTCCTATACATATTCCTGCTCCTGTGTGAAAGGATACATGTATAAAACTATTCATTGTAGAACTGTCTGTAACAGCAAAATATTGGAAACAACATATATCTACCACTGAGGCTGTGGTTAAATAAATTATGCTACATCCATAAAACAGAATAGGATGTTGCTGTGTAAAAGAATAAAGATCTCTATGTACCAAAGCCCCAAAACTGTTGGCAATATTTATCACGGGGGTAAGTGCATATTTTTCTTAGGGGAGGAAAAAAATATTACCAGCATTGAAATATAATGACCACATAGAAACACAACTCTAGGCCAGGAGCAGTGGCTCATGCCTGTAGTCCCAGCACTTTGAGAGGCCAAGGTGGCAGATCACCTGAGGTCAGGAGTTCAAGACCAGCCTGGCCAACATAATGAAACACTGTCTCTACTAAATATACAAAAATTAGCCGGGCATGGTGGTGGGCGACTGTAATCCCAGCTACTCGGGAGGCTGAGGCAGCAGAATTGCTGGACCCTGGGAGGTGGAGATTGCAGTGGGCCAAGATCACGCCATGGCACTTCAGCCTGAGCAATAGAGCAAGACTCCATCTCAAAAAAAAAAGAAAAGAAAAAAAAGGAAAGAAAAAGAAATAGAACTCTAAATTCTTCGGTGGGCGGGGGGAAATTAGAACAGTGACTTGGTAATTTTATTCAGTGACAGATTTTATCCCAAGTCATATTTCTGTGAAGAACTCCACTTGATAGCTTCTATTTTATTTTATTTATTTATTTATTTTATTACACTTTAAGTTTTAGGGTACATGTGCACAACGTGCAGGTTAGTTACATATGTATACATGTGCCATGCTGGTGTGCTGCACCCATTAACTCATCATTTAACATTAGGTGTATCTCCTAATGCTATCCCTCCCCCCTACCCCCACCCCACAACAGGCCCCGGTGTATCATGTTCCCCTTCCTGTGTCCATATGTTCTCATTGTTCAATTCCCACCTATGAGTGAGAATATGCAGTGTTTGGTTTTCTGTCCTTGCGATAGTTTACTGAGAATGATGGTTTCCAGCTTCATCCATGTCCCTACAAAGGACACGAACTCATCCTTTTTTATGGCTGCATAGTATTCCATGGTGTATATGTGCCACATTTTCTTAATCCAGTCTATCATTGTTGGACATTTGGATTGGTTCCAAGTCTTGCTATTGTGAATAGTGCTGCAATAAACATACGTGTGCATGTGTCTTCATAGCAGCATGGTTTATAATCCTTTGGGTATATACCCAGTAATGGGATGGCTGGGTCAAATGGTATTTCTAGTTCTAGATCCTTGAGGAACTGCCACACTGTCTTCCACAATGGTTGAACTAGTTTACAGTCCCACCAACAGTGTAAAGGTGTTCCTATTTCTCCACATCCTCTCCAGCACCTCTTGTTTCCTGACTTTTTAATGATTGCCATTCTAACTGGTGTGAGATGGTATCTCATTGTGGTTTTGATTTGCATTTCTCTGATGGCCAGTGATGATGAGCATTTTGTCATGTGTGTTTTGGCTGCATAAATGTCTTCTTTTGAGAAGTGTCTGTTCATATCCTTTGACCAGTTTTTGATGGAGTTGTTTATTTTCTTGTAAATTTGTTTAAGTTCTTTGCAGATTCTGGATATTAGCCCTTTGTCAGATGGGTAGACTGCAAAGATTTTTTCCCATTCTGTAGTTGCCTATTCACACTGATGGTAGTTTCTTTTGCAGAAGCTCTTTAGTTTAATTAGATCACATCTGTCTATTCTGGCTTTTGTTGCCATTGCTTTTGGTGTTTTAGTCATGAAGCCCTTGCCCATGCCTATGTCCTAAATGGTATTGCCTAGGTTTTCTTCTAGGGTTTTTATGGTTTTAAGTCTAACATTTAAGTCTTTAATCCATCTTGAATTAATTTTTGTATAAGCTGTAAAGAGGGATCCAGTTTCAGCTTTCTACATATGGCTAGCCAGTTTTCCCAGCACCATTTATTAAATAGGAAATCCTTTCCCCATTGCTTTTGTCAAGTTTGTCAAAGATCAGATGGTTGTAGATGAGTGGTGTTATTTCTGAGGCCTCTGTTCTGTTCCATTGGTCTATATATCTGATTTGGTACCAATATCATGCTGTGTTGGTTACTGTAGCCTTGTAGTCCAGTTTGAACTCAAGTAATGTGATGCCTCCAGCTTTGTTCTTTTGGCTTAGGATTATCTTGGCAATGCGGGCTCTTTTTTGGTTCCATATGAACTTTAAAGTAGTTTTCTCCAACTCTGTGAAGAAAGACATTGGTAGTTTGATGCGGATGACATTGAATCTATAAATTACCTTGGGCAGTATGGCCATTTTCACAATATTGATTCTTCCTATCCATGAACATGGAATGTTTTCCCATTTGTTTGTGTCCTCTTTTACTTCATTGAGCAGTGGTTTGTAGTTCTCCTTGAAGAGGTTCTTCACATCCCTTTTAAGTTGGATTCCTAGGTATTTTATTCTCTTTGTAGCAATTGTGAATGGGAGTTCACTTATGATTTGGTTCTCTGTTTGTCTGTTATTGGTGTATAGGAATGCTTGTGATTTTTGCACATTGATTTTGTATCCTGAGACTTTGCTGAAGTTGCTTATCAGCTTAAGGAGATTTTGGGCTGAGACTATGGGGTTTTCTAAATATACAATCATGTCATCCGCAAACAGGGACAATTTGACTTCCTCCTTTCCTAATTAAATACCCTTTATTTCTTTTTCTTGCCTGACTGCCCTGGCAGGAACTTCAAACACTATGTTGAACAGGAATGGTGAGAGAAGGCATCCTTGTCTTGTGCCAGTTTTCAAAGGGAATGCTTCCAGTTTTTGCCCACTCAGTATGATATTGGCTGTGGGTATGTCATAAATAGCTCTTCTTATTTTGAGATACGTTCCTTCAATACCTAGTTTATTGAGAGTTTTTAGCATGAAGGACTGTTGAATCTTCTTGAAGGCCTTTTCTGCATCTATTGAGATAATCATGTGGTTTTTGTCATTGATTCTGTTTACGTGATGGATTATGTTTATTGATTTGCATATGTTGAACCAGCCTTGCATCCCAGGGACGAAGCCAACTTGATCGTGTTGGGTAAGCTTTCTGATGTGCTACTGGATTCGGTCTGCCAGTATTTTATTGAGGATTTTTGCATCAATGTTCATCAAGGATATTGGTCTAAAATTCTCTTTTTTGGTTGTGTCTCTGCCAGGCTTTGGTATCAGGATGATGCTAGCATCATACAATGAGTTAGGGAGGATTCCTTCTCTTTCTATTTATTGGAATAGTTTCTGAAGGAATGGTAACAGCTCCTCTTTGTACCTCTGGTAGAATTCAGCTGTGAATTCATCTTGTCCTGGACTTTTGGTTGGCAGGCTATTAATTATTGCCTCAATTTCAGAGCCTGGTGTTGTTCTATTCAGAGACTCAACTTCCGCCTGGTTTAGTCTTGGAAGGGTGTAGATGTCCAGGAATTTATCCATTTCTTCTAGATTTTCTAGTTTATTTGTATAGAGGTGTTTATAGTATTCTCTGATGGTAGTTTGTACTTCTGTGGGATTGGTGGTGATATCCTCTTTATCATTTTTTATTGTGTCTATTTGATTCTTCTCTCTTTTCTTCTATATTACTCTTGCTAGTGGTCTATTAAGTCGTTGATCTTTTGAAAAAACCAGCTCCTGGATTCACTGATTTTTTGAAGGGTTTTTTGCGTCTCTGTCTCCTTCAGTTCTGCTCTGATCTTAGTTATTTCTTGCCTTCTGCTAGCTTTTGAAGGTGTTTGCTCTTGCTTCTCTAGTTCTTTTAATTGTGATGTTAGGGTGCAGATTTTAGATCTTTTCTGCTTTCTCTTGTGGGCATTTAGTGCCATAAATTTCCCTCTAAACACTGCTTTTAATGTGTCCCAGAGATTCTGGTACGTTGTGTCTTTGTTCTCATTGGTTTCAAAGAACATCTTTATTTCTGCCTTCATTTCCTTATTTACCGAGTAGTCACTCAGGAGCAGCTTGTTCTGTTTCCATGTAGTCGTGCAGTTTTGAGTGAGTTTCCTAATCCTGAGTTCTAATTTGATTGTACTGTGGTCTGAGAGACAGTTTACTGTGATTTCTGTTCTTCTACATTTGCTGAGGAGTGCTTTACTTCCAATTATGTGGTCAATTTTAGAATAAGTGTGAGGTGGGGCTGAGGAGAATGTATTTTCTGTTTATTTGGGGTGGAGAGTTCTGTAGATGTCTATTAGGTCCACTTGGTGCAGAGCTGAGTTCAAGTCCTGGATATCCTTGTTAACCTTCTGCTTTGTTGATCTGTCTAGTATTGACGGTAGAGTGTTAAAGTCTCCCATTATTATTGTGTGGGAGTCTAAGTCTGTTTGTAGATCTCTAAGGACTTGCTTTATGAATCTGAGTGATACTGTATTAGGTGCATATATATTTAGGATAGTTAGGTCTTCTTGTTGAATCACCCTTTACCATTATGTAATGGCCTTCTCTGTCTCTTTTCATCTTTGTTGGTTTAAAGTCTGTTTTATCAGAGACTGGGATTGTAACCCCTGCTTTTTTTTTGCTTTCCATTTGCTTGGTAGATCTTCCTCCATCCCTTTATTTTGAGCCTATGTGTGTCTCTGCATGTGAGATGAGTCTCCTGAACACAGCACACTGATGGGTCTTGATTCTTTATCCAATTTGCCAGTCTGTGTCTTTCAATTGGGGCATTTAGCCCATTTACATTTAAGGTTAATACTGTTATGTGTGAATTTGATCCTGTCATTAGGATGTTAGCTGGTTATTTTGCTCGTTAATTGATGTAATTTCTTCATAGCATCGATGGTGTTTGCAATTTGGCATGTTTTTGCAGTGGCTGCTACAGGTTGTTCCTTTCCATGTTTAGTGCTTCCTTTAGGAGCTCTTGTAAGGCAAGCCTGGTGGTGACAGTCTCTCAGCATTTGCTTGTCTGTAAAGGATTTTATTTCTCCTTCACTTAGGAAGCTTAGTTTGGCCAGATAGGAAATTCTGGATTGAAAATTCTTTTCTTTAAGAATGTTGAATATTGGCCCCCACTCTCTTCTGGCTTGTAGGGTTTCTGCCAAAAGATCTGCTGTTAGTCTTTGGGCTTACCTTTGTGGGTAACCCGACCTTTCTCTCTGGCTGCCCTTAACATTTTTTCCTTCATTTCAACCTTGGTGAATCTGACAATTATGTGTCTTGGGGTTGCTCTTCTCAAGGAGTATCTTTGTGGTGTTCTCTGTATTTCCTGAATTTGAATGCTGGCCTGCCTTACTAGGTTGGGGAAGTTCTCCTGGATAATATCCTGAAGAGTGTTTTCCACCTTGGTTCCATTCTCCCCGTCACGTTCAGGTACACCAATCAAAAGTAGATTTGGTCTTTTCAGATAGTCCCATATTTCTTGGAGGCTTTGTTCGTTTCTTTTTACTCTTTTTTCTCTAAACTTGTCTTCTCGCTTTATTTCATTAATTTGACCTTCAATCACGGATACCCTTTCTTCCACTTGATTGAATTGGCTACTGAAGCTTGTGCATGCGTCACGAAGTTCTCGTGCCATGGTTTTCACCTCCTTCAGGTCATTTAAGGTCTTCTCTACACTGTTTATTCTAGTTAGCCATTCGTCTAAACTTTTTTCAAGGTTTTTAGCTTCCTGGAGATGGGTTAGAACATGCTCCTGTAGCTTGGAGAAGTTTGTTATTACCGACCTTTTGAAGTCTACTTCTGTCAACTTATCAAAGTCATTCTCTGTCCAGCTTTGTTCCGTTGCTGGAGAGGAGTTGCGATCCTTTGGAGGAGAAAAGGTGCTATGGTTTTTAGAATTTTCAGCTTTTCTGCTCTGGTTTCTCCCCATCTTTGTGGTTTTATCTACCTTTGTTCTTTGATATTGGTGACCTATAGATAGGGTTTTGGTGTAGATGTCCTTCTTGTTGATGTTGATGCTATTCCTTTCTGTTTGTTAATTTTCCTTCTTACAGTCAGGTCCCTCAGCTGCAGGTCTGTTGGAGTTTGCTGGAGGTCCACTCCAGACCCTGTTTGCCTGGGTATCACCAGCGGAGGCTGCAGAACAGCAAATAATGCAGAACAGCAAATATTTTTGGCAGATCCTTCATCTGGAAGCTTCATCCCAGAGGGGTACCTGCTTGTATGAGGTGTCTGTCGGCCCCTTCTGGGAGGTGTCTGCCAGTTAGGCTACAAGGGGGTCAGGGACCCACTTGAGGAGGTAGTCCGTCCGTTCTGAGAGCTCAAACGCCATGCTGGGAGAACCACTGCTCTCTTCACAGCTGTCAGACAGGGACGTTTCTTCTTCTTCTTCTTTTTTTTTTTTTTTTTTTTTTTTTTGAGACAGTGTCTCACTCTTGTACCCTAGGCTGGAGTGCAGTGGTGCAATCTCGGCTCACTGCAACCTCCACCTCCCCACTTCAAGCGATTCTCCTGCCTCAGCCTCCCGAGTAGCTGGGACTACAGTCACCCGCCACCACACCTGGCTAATTTTTCTATTTTTAGTAGAGATGGGGTTTTACCACGTTGGCCAGGCTGGCCTCAAACTCCTGACCTCAAGTGATCCACAAGCCTCGGCCTCCCAAAGTGCTGGGATTACAAGCGTGAGCCACTGCACCCGGCCATAAAAGTATTTGTTTTTTATAAATCGAGTGTAACCTAAGTGTACAGGGTTTATAAAGTCTACAGTAGTGTACAGGAACATCCTAGGCCTTCACATTCACTCCCCACCCAGTCACTGACTCCCTCAGGGCAACTTTCAGTCCTTCAAGCTCCATCCATATTAAGTGCCCTATACAGGTGTATCATGTTTTATCTTTTATATCATATGTTTGCCACACCTCTTCTATGTTTAAATTCACAATACTTCTAAGTTTAAATATACAAATACTTACACCTCTGTGTTAAAAGTGACTACAGTATTCAGCACAGGTTTGTAGTCTACGGGCAATAGGCAATAAATACCATACAGCCTAGGTGTATAGTAGGCTACGCCATCTAGATTTGTGTAAGTACAAGCTGTGGTATTCACACAATGATAAAACTGCCTAATGATGTGTATCTCAGAACAGATTGCCGTAGTTACGTAATGCATGACTGTACATGATTTTTAGAATTTTAACAGTACAGAAATGCATAAGATATAAAGTAAACCACTGTCAACTCATCCAGTCTCATTTTCCAAGGCGCTTTTGGTCATATCTGTTTTTATTTTGATTGGCAGTCTTATGGTTCAAATGTTTTCCCCTCCAAAACTCATGCTGCCCCTTAATTCCCATTATAATGGCATTAAGAGGATGGGAAATCCAATTATGGTATTTGAGAGGTGAGAACTCTGAGAAGTAGTTAAGATTAGATGAGGTCATTAGGATGGGATATTAGTCACTTCATAAGAGGAGGAAAAGAAACCTAAGCTAGCAAGCTCAGCCCCCTCACCATGTGATGCCCTACACTGCCTTTGGACTCTGCAAAGAGTCTCCAACAGCATGATGGACCTCACCACATGCAGCCCCTCAATCTTGGACTTCTCAGCATCTAGAACTGTACAAAATAGATTTCTTTTTGTTTTAAATTACTCAGTCTCAGGTAATCCGTTATAGCAACAGAAAACAGATGAAGACAGATAGCAATCAGTCTAAATACTATGATTACACCTCTATTTCTTGGTTTGTCATCTTTAAGCAGTGACTATTGACTTTATGCCATTAAGAGAATGAATTAACTTAGAGAAACCATCCCACAATTCCAAATTTTGCTAGTAATATTACTTGAAAATTCTTATCTATTTTGACTCATCAACTTTAAGTGGTACTTCTAGACTCCACGCTATATAAGATGAAGAAATGAATAGGCAAAACTTGATCAGAGAGTAATTCTATGAGGCATTTACCTTGTTCATAAAGTAGTTCCATATTCGAATCTTTGCAGGCAACTAGATTGCTGAGTAATGCAATCACACTTTGCATGGTATTACCCAGAATGCTCTCCTGATGTTCCTGCAATAGATCATAATTTCCATCATAACCATACAGAAATACAATTACATCATCGTAAAGACAAATAAGCAAATGATGTCCACTGCTTCATTCTTTGCACAAGGTTAAATGATTACCTTTTTGCACTTTAATGAAGCACATCCTTCTATGTTAAGACAAATCCCATCAGTGAGTTAAGTGAGCTGGGAGGGAGGGTAAATCACCCAGACACCAGTGCTGCAGCACAGACTTCCCTGCCCATGAGCTGAGAGATAACACATGGTCCTCCATGCTTTAGGTGGGTGACAAAGGAATTCAAGTATGTAGAACTCAGAAGATCATGCTTGAAGATGAGTTTGATATCACAAAAGAAAACTACTTCAAGCAAATATTTATGCAGTTTCAATATTATGCTGGTACTGATATTTTTCCCACTTTAGTACATTTGATCTGATTTATTACTGCTTTAGTGCAATAAACTACATTTGGACCTAAAAGAGTGGATTGTGAATTTTGCTTTCCTCAACACTTAGCATCATATAGTAGGCAGTAACTTAGGTCCTAAAGAGAATGGAAAATGAGTTATTCTTCAGTTGCAATTTCTCATTTTAAAGGCAGAATCATTTCTTTGTAATTTTTAAAGGGTCTTACAAACAACTTGCTTTTCTTTTGTTCCCTTTTTCATTGCTGTGAATATTTTTTAAAATTAAGCAATTAACACAGATTATAATTGAAATTATTAAATTTCATAAAATTCAAAAATAAAGAGGCAGTCTTTGCAGTCTGGAACTAGGATGAGGCAAGAGAGACACACGAGGTGCAAAATGTAAGGTAGTACTCCTCACTCTCAGGTTCCTGTAAGTACCCACTGACAGTGAGGACTCCTAGGAGTCTAGCTTGCCCTGCTCTACGTCCTGCGCCCATTCACCATGACTATTCTGCTAATAACTAGTCCAACCCCGAAAAGCAACAAGCATATTAATTAGTAGGCTTGATCTAGACCTTTTTATATTCATTTTCTCCACCTCTCACCCACAGAGAAACATATGGTTTGCTGTTGGGTTGTTTTTTAACGTATAGCTATTTTGTGCCAGGCACTGTAGTAGGCACTTGAGGTATGCCAGTGAACAAAGTCCCCTATCCTCACATAAATAGACAACAAAAAGCATAATAAAAAAGTGAACCATATAATGTATTAGAAGATAGCAAGTACTCTGGCAAAAAAGAAAAAAGCAGAGCAGGGAAGCAAGGTTCAGAGGGCAGCAGTGGGACTGCATATGATTTGAAATAGGGTGCTCAGGATAAGACTCATTGAGAAGGTGTCACTTAACAGATTTTTTTTTTTTTTTTTTTTTTTGAGATGGAGTCTCGCTCTGTCGCCAGGCTGGAGTGCAGTGGTGCGATCTCGGCTCACTGAACCTCCACCTCCTGGGTTCAAGTGATTCTCCTGCCTCAGCCTCCTGAGTAGGTGGGACTACAGGCATGCACCGTCATACCCGGCTAATTTTTTGTTTTGTTTTGTTTTTTGTATTTTTAGTAGAGACAGGGTTTGACTGTGTTGGCCAGGATGGTCTCGATCTCTTGACCTCGTGATCCATCTGCCTCAGCCTCCCAAAGTGCTGGGATTACAGGCGTGAGCCACCACGCCTGGCATTTAACATAAATTTTATTTTACTTTTTAAATGCTGAAGCCTCTTGGTATCTCTTAATTGATTTTAATAAGCTTTTCTTTTGAAATAACTTTAGCTTTATAGAAGAGTTTCAAAGATAGTACAGAGAGTTTCCATATACCCATCACCCAGTTTTCCCTCATGTTAACATCTTACCCTAACCGTGTTGTATCTATCAAAACTAAGACATTTACACTGATACTAACAACTCAGCTACAGACTATTCAAGTGGCACCAGTTTTCCACCGATGGCCTTTTCTGTTCCAGAATTCAATCAAGGATCCTATTTTACACTCAGGATTATTCATTTTTGCAACAAATACTAAGTGCCAACTATTCCAGGTAGTTGGCTTACATCAGTGAACAAAACAGAAAAAAAGCCCTGCCCTTATGGTGTTTACCTTGTACCAGGAGGAGAAGACAATAAATAACAAATAATTATAAGACATGTTAGAAGGTGATATACACTATGAGACAAAATAGGGAACAGGATAAGGTGGCTTGGGAGTGCTGCAGGGGAAGCTGCAATGCTAGAGCAAGCAAAGCATAGCTCCTTCAGAAAATGACATCTGAGCAAAGATTTAAAGAAGTAGACATATGTTTATTCTCCTAATATACTTCTAGACTCTGTCAGCTAAGTTTCTTTAGGATTGTTGCATCTATGTTCATAAGTGATACTGACTTATAAGTGACACCCTCTTCTGATTTTACTATCGATCTCATGCTAACCTTGTCTACCCATTTTATTCCAAATATATTTATTGTGCATCTAATATGTGTTTCTAGGAGATCTGGCAGAACTCACTCATACAAGCAACTAGCTAGCCTCCATACATTTCTACCAGTTGTGTGGAAAAACACACATAAACTCTTAAGTGGTTTTTCTCTTCTCTCACTCAGTAATAATCAACACAGGAGACTTCTGTGACCAAATGTGTGGGATTTTCCCCACACACGAAGCAAGCAATCGATTCTGCAGCTGACACAAGCTGAGCGTTCTCTACTTCAACTCCACAAAATCTACCGGGAAACAGTATCAGACCCCATAGGGCGAGGGCTCAGTCCCACAAGGCTACACCCTCCTTCCCACTTCAAACACTCATCACAAGTCTGGACCTCTGGAACTTCTGACCCGCCAGAGTCAAGCTGGGTTTCCCATGACTGCCTCTTTGGCTTCAATTAATTTACTAGAGTGGCTTACAGAACTCAGGAAAACACGTTTACCATTTTACTATAAAGGACATTACAAAAGACATGGATGGAGAGATGCATAGTGCAAGGTATGGGGGAAGAACTGTGGAGCTTCTGTGTCTTCCCCGGGCACACCACCCTCCAGCAACCTGTACATATTCAGCTATCTGGAAGTTCTCTGAACTTCGGGGTTCTGTTATAGGTCCTTTGGGGTTTTTATGGAAGTTTTGTTATGTAGGCAAGACTGATTATATCACTGGCCATGAGTGATCAACTTAACCTCAGCCCCTCTCCCCTCCCCAGAGGGTGGAGATTGGGACTCAAAGTTTTCAGCCCTCTAATGTTGCCTTGGTCTTTCAGGTGACAAGCCACCATCCTGAAGCTACCCTAGGGGATGCCAGCCATCAACTCATTAGCATACAAAAAGACAGCACCTGAAGACAGAGTTTCTGAGGATTTTAGGAGTTGCATGCTAGGAAACAGGGGTGAAGATCAAATACATACTTCACAGTATCATACCAGTGGACCTTAAAAAAAACTGAAAAACAAAACACTTCTACTCAGGCATCTACAACATCTTGACCCAATTTGGTTATGTCTATTTTCCTAGAAAACCATCTACAACATCCAAATTTTCACACATATTGTAATAAAATCCTACAAAGCATTCTATTACACCTTCACAAAATTTCCCTGGCCCCTATTTATATTGCCTTTTACACCGTGTCCTCTCTCTTGTTGATCAGACTCACCAAAGCTTGATCTATGCTATCAGACTTTTCAAGGAACCACCTTTCCATTTGAATGACTACCCTACATTTTTTTTTTGAGTTAGTCATTATGAATGACTAACGAATTTCCCACTTCTCTCTCCTAGGTATACAGTAGAATGGCATTTCCCCGCCTGCTTGGAAAATGACACTAGTGATGAAAATGACACTTGCTTTGGCCAATTAAACTTACATGGGCAGAAGCATTAAGCGCCAGTGACAGCTTCATCATCCTACCTTCTCCTCTGCCCCATGACCTTCTAGATGGTGAGGCTTCTAATGGCCTGCGTATCAGAGTGAGAACATGAAGCAGAGAATCCAGGAACCTCTTGATTGGACACGTGGTTTCCAAGGCTTACAAAAATACCCACACTGCATCTGACTCTGAAACTGCTTTCTCAGCAGATTTGTACCTCCCACTGATGAGAGCCACTTGATTTCATATGGGTTTTGCCATGTATGCCGTTGTTTAACACAAGACAAAGTGTTTGCTTTCCAAATACTGATGTCTAAAAATTTTGAACTTCAGAAACACACGCTTAAGAGCACTTTTGCAGTGAACGTTAATGTTTTAATGTTTCACTGACACCAGCTTAAGAAGATTAATGTGGAAGCAATGGTCTGCCACCAATTTCATCTAATTATTCTTACAGTTGGTTGGAAGGAAAGGGTGATTAATAAGCACCAAGATGACACTACATGTTACTCGTGATAAAGTAACCAACGATACATAAAAAACCTTTTCTTGTGAAGAAAGTGGAGCTAATAAATCTTTTATTTTGGTCCCATTTGGTAAAATGACACATACTGCTCCTTGTTCAAAGACCCATCTGTCAGCAAATATAGGTCAGTCTTACTAGAAATAAATCTATTGTTTCTTTGAGATACACATTTTTGTAACTAAATGCACATTTTCTATAATACCCTTGGCAACTACTTTGCTCATTCTGAAGCCAATACTCCAGCTTTTCCTGTACTCATGAGTGAGTGCCACTTGTTGATATAGGTACTTCCTTCAATACAAAAGCTAACTCACCCTGGACGCTAAGAACACAGAATCAGATCCCAGCCAATCAGGTCCCGGGACCCCCTGCCTGGAGATCCCAGAGTCACTGAAGAATAAAGGCCCCTGCCTGCCCCACTACTCAATCTGCAGAGGGGTATAAAACTAAGGTACACTCTGATTATCAAACTTCCCCACTAACATTATTACTAGGAGTACTTAGAGAAAAATATTTGATGCACAGAATAAAAAAAGAGATGAATAATCCCATAATCAGTCTGGAGGAAACTGTTCCACTTCTATTCTAGACGTTATTAAAAACACTGTTTTCTTTATTGTCTTTGTTGGTTTATAAACTATCCATAGATCATGAACTTTGCTCAGAATAAAGTGAGGGCTTTATAAAAATTATGTTACAGAATTATCTTTACTTGCTCTTCCCTCTTACAGGTATATATGCCTTCTTGCATAGTGCAGCGGAGGGAGACCTTGGAGCACAGTAATTGCTTCTGCTCAAGATGATGACATGGTTCTCTAGGTGAAATAAGAGAGCTACTGCTCTGGCCTAGAGCATCATTTCCCCAAAAAGAATGCTAAATCCATGCAAAGGACAGTTGAGCAGGTGTAAATGTGAATTAAGCATACTTCTATTAACTTGTATCAAACTGTGCTATTTCATTTATCTTAGCAGCTTTAATAAGGTTTTTTTCTGGTTCACAATCTTATTAGCTTACGGGGGTAAACTGTGCATTGAAAAACATTACATTTGCCTCTTTAAGTCAGAGGAGAGGAATATATGAAAAGAGAAAACATGAGAGTAAACATGTGGGGCTCGATTTCTTCTTGGACATAACTGGAAGACTGGTGGAAAGAGACAAGGGCACGCATGTTTCGTTCAAAGACCACAGGTCAGAGTTGGAGGGGAGGGATGATTCTGACTAAAGACTATTTCATCATTAGATGCTCCTCTGGGAGAGCCCCTCCAACTTCTCCAAATTTAAGACTGAATCCCAGGGTGAAAGGGCAATACAGGGGATTAGGTAAAATCTTGAAACATATATTTTTCCAATCCTCAGAGCTCATTGATAAAGCAAGGAGTCTACACTTTTGGTGCCCTGATACATGCAAGGAGAGATGAAAGCAGGTGAAGACCTGCAACAAGGCCTTTGGGACAGGGTCAGGGGCCCAGTTATAAGCAGAGCTGCCACACGGGCCCGAGCTGGGGCAAGACAGCACTGATAACGTATTGAGAACTTACTATGTGCCATGTCCTGTACTCCACTTCACCTACATCATCTCATTCAACCCTTACAAAAACATGGAAGGGGCTATCATTCTACTATTTTTATCAGTAAGAATTGAGGTTAGTGAAGTCAAGTGTAACTTGCCAAACTCTTCATTGGTGAAGCTGGGATTTGGTCTATGGGATGGCAGAAACCTTGCCCCTAATCACCATGAAGCATTGCCTAGTGATCAGAGGAGGGCAGAGTGCCAGGGTCACCCAGGCCAGTGAGCACACTCCAGGTTAACCAACACCACCTGTGGACCCACAGTGTTACCTGGGAGGAACTGAAAGAAGCCCAGAGTAGGCGGGGGTGAAAATCTGAGAAACACTAATCTAGGGCTCTAATGGTGATGCTTATCCTCTCTTTCATTCCACAATGTTCCCTGTCCCCTCCCCCCACCACTGGGATCTTCTAGCTTCAAAAGAGCCCTCAATGTTTTTCATTACACTGTAAGATAAATAACCCACACGCCTGTAATCCCAGCACTTTGGGAGGCCGAGGCAGGTGGATCACAAGGTCAGGAGATTGAGACCATCCTGGCTAACATGGTGAAACCCTGTCTCTACTAAAAATACAAAAAAAAAAAATTGGCCCGTCATGGTGGCGGGTGCCTGTAGTCCCAGCTACTGAGGAGGCTGAGGC
The DNA here is from genome assembly GCF_000001405.40 of Homo sapiens. NCBI lineage: Eukaryota > Metazoa > Chordata > Mammalia > Primates > Hominidae > Homo > Homo sapiens. The sequence continues at coordinate 41,572,672 of NC_000003.12, forward strand.
AGAAGAATGGCATGAACCCAGGAGGCGGAGCTTGCAATGGGCCGAGATCGCGCCACTGCACTCCAGCCTGGGCGACAGAGCAAGATTCCATCTCAAAAAAAAAAAAAAAAAGATATATAACCCAAGAAGCATGATATGGGTATTAGACAATTACAGGAAACGAAAGAATGAGCATATTGCCCAAAATAAAAATACGTACTAGGGCCACTATTAATAGCCACATTATTCAGACACTTGTGTTCGCACTGGCTGATGGGGAAAAGAGGAAACGACTCACAGAAGATGGCATCATTGAGAGCCCACAAAAGGCAATCCCACTACACTTTAAGATTATGACGAAAATATTTAACTCCTTCATCCATAACCCATAAGCCCAGCTGACCTAATTTATGTGCCTAACACCACAGTGCATGGACATTTAATAAACACTTGATGGCTCTAATAAAACACAGCACTTGCCAGTAGAGATCATTAGAATTAAAGCAGCAAAATTCTAGTGTTTGACAACATAGATGAAACAACTTCATTAAAATGTACAGTTTCAGCAAATGAAAGGCAGGAGAGCACTGGACCCTGAAGAATCAGCCTTCTCAAAACTAATTGCTTCAGTGCTTAAAGAGGACAGCTTTGAAATACCAAGGGCACAGCAAGGAAACACTCGTGAAAAATGACCAGCCTTTCCAAAGCAGTTTCACCGTAGACAGGGCATTCTATTTTACTGTGATATTTGACAAGGTAAATGCCACTGAAAGACTTCAGATGTCTGGATTAAAAGTTTGGTAAGGATCTAAATAGTCAAGGTAGAAAATACCTTTAACAACTAAAAGTAACAGTGAACCATGGTCACTCTCTTTTGCCTTTGGTTCAGGCCAGAATTTAACAATGAATTAACAGCTAATTAAAAGACCACAACTAATCATAGGGATGAGAAACCACAGAGAGAATAAAGAGCAAAGCACACACACGTGTTGGGCACGCAGCATCTACAATTTCTTAAAAATACATAGCACATCCTATTCAACACACGCTTAAACTACATTTCAGAAAACAAATTTACTGTTGCTCTAGAGAATGGTAGTCTACCATGCACTCCATGTACAATGGCGCCAAAGTGCTGCTCCAGGATGTAGTGGTGCATCCAGTCACTTTCTGTCACAAACATTCTCCTACCTGGCTAGATTCCTAGAGCTCTGAGACCCAAGCTCAGAAAAGTCTTCAGAGTATTCAAGTGAAATAAATATGTTTGAGGGGAAGAGGACACATTTCCATATTACTGATGATTTTTCACAAGGCTGTGTCACAGGCAGCTTAACCCAGCCTGACCAACATGGTGAAATCCCATCTCTACTAATAACACAAAATTAGCCAGGAGCGGTGGCGCATGCCTATAATCCCAGCTACTTGGGAGGCTGAGGCAGAATTGCTTGACCTCAAAAGGCAGAGGTTGCCGTGAGCCGAGATTGAGCCATTGCACTGCAGCCTGGGCAACAAGAGCGAAACTCCGTCTCAAAAAAACAAACAAACAAACAAACAAAAACTCAATGGAATCTAAATTGAGTTCATCTCCCTTTGCCTTCACACTTTCCTTTCTGTTTCCTCTTTCAATTGGAGGTCCCACAGCTTGCCCAGCCACCAGCCACAAACCTTAGAATCATCGGGACTACTGCCTCCCTATTGTTCCCTCATCTAGTCAGCCACAAAGTACCCTCGAATCTCCCTTGAGCCCCTCTTGCATCTATCCTCTGCTCTCCATTCCCACTTACCTAACATCAGGCAATTGGCATCCTTAGCAGGGACCACAGTCTCCTAATGGGTGTCTCTACTTCCAGCTTCACCTCCACTACTGCTACCAGAGTCCTCTTTTTTTTTTTTTTTTTTTTTTTTTTTTGAGACAGAGTCTTGCTCTGCCACCCAGGCTGCAGTGCAGTGGCAAGATCTCAGCTCAATGCAAGCTCCGCCTCCCGGGTTCATGCCATTCTCCTGCCTCAGCCTCCCAAGTAGCTGGGACTACAGTTGCCTGCCCACCATGCCTGGCTAATTTTTTGTATTATTTTCTAGTAGAGATGGGGTTTCACCGTGTTAGCCAGGATGGTCTCAATCTCCTGATCTCGTAATCCACCTGCCTTGGCCTCCCAAAGTGCTGGGATTACAGGCGTGAGCCACTGCGCCAGGCCCCAGACTCCTCTTTCTAAAGTGGTAGAGACTCTGTCTCCAGCTGTGGGGCTTAAATCTGGAAGGCTGTAGGCCAACACAGGAAACACTGGTTCACGTAGGCCCAAGGTCATGGCTACCACAGCCCAGTTTCTGTCCACAGCCCTGGTTGGATTTAAACCCCTGAAAGGAGGGGAAGCCACAAAAATCATCAGACAGCAGATGCAGGGGTGTTGTTACTCCAGTGCTTTCAATCCGGCATTATGATGTGGGAAACATTCTCATGGCTTTTTGTACCAAATACTGACCCCTAAGGGTGAGAAACAGGGAAGGGAACAAGTTGAATTAAACTGAAAGGGCACAGGCTAATTTAAAATTAATTCAATCATTTACCTCATAAATATGTATATGGATTTCCTAGGAAGAAAGACCAGGATTTAGGGGTCCACAGGGGGAATGTTTGGAGTAGGATGAAGGTGCTGGGGTAACTGCCCCTGGGCATTTGCTCTGTTAGTTGTGCAGCAGGTAAACAGCCCCTCTGCCAACGTGGTCGGGGCTTCTAGGGGTTGAGCAGGCTCTGACAGGGGCTGAGGAGGCAGAGGGAGAACATTGAAGCATGTTTTTCTCCCCTCGGTAGCCAAAAATGTATGGTGCTCTCACCCCAGGAGTCTGGAGGTATAGATTTAAGCCCCTTCTTTTATATGGGGCATCATCATTTGAAGGCTTCCTCCACCTTTCTGATCAAAGACATGAGAGAAGGCAACTTAAAATTATTTTTAAATTTGACTGACAGATACAGTAGAGGCCCTCTAGCAGTAGCAAATACAAGTTATGATTAGTGATACATTCCAGCTGGCACAGAAGGGAGTATTTGGATCATATGGTACCATTTGCCAATCAGTATGCTGAGCTTGTCTTTAGAATTCCAGCCCTCATTCAACACCAATGGCAATGCGCTGCGAATGCCCTTCTGGCAGGTTAATTGTGTCACTTGGCTTTCCTAGCCCTGCCCTTTCATGTTATTTAGGCTTTAGCAGGAAGCTTCCATCCATCCTCTTGGCTCTCAATGTGGCCCTATGCCTCGAGGCAGAAGCAGTGGGCCAGAGCCAAAGCTGCTCAGACAGGAGGACCCTGGCAGTGGAGCCAAAGGGAAGCTGCCAGGAGCAGCTCCCTGGGGATGGACTGTGCCCCTTTTATGTATCTGCCTGTAGTGTTGAAAGAGAGGCCAATCTGCCACACAACACACTATCTGAGCTAATGACCAGCCCAAAGTAGGGAGGACAAATGAAAAAATAGAACACATCCAGACACACAACTCCTTCAGCCTTCTCCTCACATCCCTGCCACTGTCGAAAAGTAAAAATAGCAATAAAAATAGCAATAACAAAGTCCTAGCAAACTAATGTCACTCTTAAAAATTCAGGCCAGATGTTGTTTCCTGAAGCTGGTGTCTGTGGGGAAGGTTGCCTTGGGTTGAATAGTATTTTCCTCACTTTCCTGTGCCTGCCTGCATCACTGTGGCCACCAAGTGTAGAGAAACTATTGGTTAATCCCATCCCTCACCCAATGCTGAGTGCCTTGAGGGCACGACTGAGACTTTTAATAGTGTCCCCTGTGCCTATGTGCAGTCCCTGGTACACAGTGGTCTCTGAAAAATTAATGAAAAAACAATCCTGCTCTAAGTTGCTTGGGTAAATACAGCTGCAGAAGGCATAGACGGTGTGAGAGCCTCCTTCTAGAAATCAACTAGTCAGTGACTAGAAACTGCCTTCAGTTAAGCAATTGATAAACATTTATTGAGCACCTAAAATTTGCTATGTAATGGTGTGAAGAACTACAAAAGGATAAAAAAGGCCTTTCCCAAAATGCTTTCAGTTTATATTCACTTTTGAATAATGTTTGCAAAAACTGATAAATTCAGATTTTTTATTTTAAGTAAAATACACAAAATCTCTCACATGCTAAACACTGGTCAAGCACTCATGAAGCATTTGCACTGGCATGGAAAACATATACTCCTAAAATTCTGAAACAAATTTTAATGAAACACAACTTTAATGGGATTTTCTGTAAAAGATAACTGCTCACAAACATAAAGTGTCCCACACGAAAGAAAGAAAATATCACAGTGAAAATAAATGGAAAGATTAATTACACACAATTATCACAAGGCAGTTTTCAATTAGAGTCGTCTTTTACTGTGGGAGTGTGCAAATTTTTCCTAATGGGAGTTTACCAAGTGTTGGTACTCACAGTTTCAGTTTCTAAGAGGTACTAGTAAATCCTGCAGGAAAAATATTTCAGTGGGAATTGACTGGAAGATTATTTAAAGCTAAAATTTTAAAGAATGTAAAAGCACAATGTGGTAGAGCAGAAAAAAAACCGGGCCAAGCCCAGTTCTAAGCCTTGGCCTGCCCCAAACCAGCTGGAAAGCCTAAAGCAAAGCAAGAAAATAAGCTACTAGACCTTGGAAGAATCTTAGAGACTTTTCTAGTTCAATCCTTTAATTTTTTAATTTTTAATTTTTGTGAATACATAAGAGGTGTATATATTTATGGAACATATGAGATGTTTTGATACAGGCATGTAATGCATAATAATCACGTCAGGGGAAATGGGGGTATCCATCACCTCAAGCATGTATCCTTTGTGTCACAAATAATCCAATTATACTTTTATTTTAAAATGTACAATTATTATTGACTATACTCACCCTGTTGTGTTATCAAATACTAGGTCTTATCCATTCTTCCGCGCCCCCATTAACCATCCCCACCTCCCCCTCCAACCTCCCACTACCCTTCCCAACCTCTGGTAACCAACCACCCTTCTATTCTCTAGCTCCATGAGTTCAATTGTTTTTCAATCATTTAATTTTAAAGACAAAGAAATTGAATCTCTGAGAAAGGAATATAAAGAGGAGGGTCAGGGCTTAAAATTGCATCTTCCTTTCCCATTATCTCATAATTATTTACCTAAAAATCACATCAGGGCTTATAGAGTCAAAGGTGTACTTTTATACTTGATCTCAGCCAAAAGGCCAAGAAGAGATTCAAGGATGTAACTTTAAAACAGATAAATTTTTTGCCCACACTGGAGTAACACTGTAAACACTGCTCCCTGGAGCTGCACATTTGGTTGCCCTTAACACCTTCTTTGGCAGGTCAGCTCTTACTCCTGAACAGCAAGTGATGAATAGGCTATTCTGGAGCAAATGGGAATACCCCAACATAATGCATGCTAACCCTCAGGCCAGAAATACTTTTTGGATCTAATAGAATTTTTCAGTTTTTGCAGCAGAAGGCTATCTCTAAAGAGGTGATAGTCATCTTACAGTCAGGGTTGAAATTTTAACCCAAGAGCACCTTTCTCCAATAGAATATTCTAAGGAAGTAACTTAGAACTGCAAGCATGTATGTTTATGATATGTTTAAAAATCAGCAGCAAAAGGCAACCTGGGTCTTTGTCACTCACCCTGGAATTTGCTGCACTTGGTATTTTAAGCATGATCATATTTCTGTTCCCAATTTCCATAACCGAAGGCAATCAGCTTACCTTTTCTTAGACTCTACTTAGATAAGAACCATTATATTTGTTTAGTCACTTTGGAACACTCAATAAGCTCATTTTTGGCCACATAATGACACACGCTATACCATCTTGAAGAATTAATGGTTGCGACAGTATAAAATGATTCCAGGAATTTTTCATCTCTCAGATAATCTTTTGTGTCTTTACTGGCATATTTTTATTAACTGAAATTAGAAGAAACTCTAGATATAAGCATAAAGTGAGCAGTATTAATGTAGGTGAATAAATTAATAAATGTGGGTCCAAAATGTTGTGCTAAAGAATCACAGGAAGTGTCAATCAAGGAGTCTTGTGGTGGGAAAAGGTTTGGAAGAAGGGACTAATAAACCCACAGACCCTACACATAAGTATGGTATGTGCTGGACAAGTGGGAATAATAAGGAAATTCTAGAAGTCAAGAGACTGGCCAACTTGATCAAGGGAGAAAGTGACCATATATTGGCCAGTCTCAATTTCCAAAGTCCAGAAGAGAACTCTTCAGAGCTTAATTTCTTCAGTCAAGCTAGGTTGAGAGTTTCCCTAAGGGCCTTGAGAAATCAGGCGCAACCCAACCCTCCTCTTCAGTATCTATTCTGGGACAAATACTTATGGGGTTCTTGGCTATACGCTGAGTGTGTAAGACTCATCTGAGAAGCACTATTTGTCATGTCCACTGTTTCTGCATCGAAGCACCAGCCGTACAAGTCCACAAGAAGCCCTTTGAACAATGGAATGAGGAAATGGGAAAGAGGGAAAGGGAAGGCTTGGCGTTTTCATATTTTTAACCACTGTATTCCAATAAATGAGCTTCAGCTTTAAGGGTTTATATGTCGAAATGGCTTGATTAAATTTTCCTCATGAAAATGAAAGAGAAAACCAGAAATCAAAATGAGTGCTAAGAATGAAGGGACAGAGGAAAGGTTAAAGTGAGAAAGGATAGGGATAAGGAAGGAAGGAGGAACAGATGGCTTTACCCATGAAGAAAACTGAGTCCAATGAGGCTAAGCTCAGAATACAACGCCAGTTCCACAGATGCTAGCTCCAAAGGCCTCCCCATCACAAGGCAGCTATTCACTTCAATCTGGAACTAATATTTTTTTTTTTTTTTTTTTTTTTTTTGAGACGGAGTTTCGCTCTGTCGCCCAGGCTGGAGTGCAGTGGCGCGATCTCGACTCACTGCAAGCTCCGCCTCCCGGGTTCACGCCATTCTCCTGCCTCAGCCTCCCGTGTAGCTGGGACTACAGGCGCGCGCCTCCATGCCCGGCTAATTTTTGTATTTTTAGTAGAGACGGGGTTTCACCGTGTTAGCCAGGATGGTCTCGATCTCCTGACCTCGTGATCCGCCCGTCTCGGCCTCCCAAAGTGCTGGGATTACAGGCGTGAGCCACCGCGCCCGGCCTGGAACTAATATTTTTTGCTAAGAGTGAGTCAAAAGACCTGCTGACCCGCATGTTGGAGAGACGTGCACAGACAGCAGCTCTGTTGCTGCCCTTGTGTTTTCCTGGCATGCCATTACCCAAAGACAGGGAGCAGAAAAGCAAGTGCAATCTTTCCCTTTCACTCTAACTCCAGGCACTTCAAGGCATTTCTTGACTCATGGAGCACACGTGTGAGGACTGCTTTCTTGCTGCCATACTCCCACCTGGCCACCCACTCAAAGTACACAGAGTAACGGTGTCACAGCCTCTTTTGCATGTGAATTTCGATTAGCTGCTAATGACTAGATGTGCCATCCCCTCAGGCTGACTGGCTGGTACAGAATCCTTCTGCCGCTGTGCATGACAACAGACAAGCGGCTGTCATGAGCTTGTATTTATAGGGGTTGAGCACAGAGGGGGTGCTGGTCTTTAGGAGACGTCCCTGAGCTTCAGGAACATCCATACATCATTCTGCACCATTCTGATATCATTATTAGCCAATCTTATTAGATAATCTTAGAATCTTATCTCTCAGGGCACAAATAACAAGTTAAACCAATTATTTATTTTTTTTTTTTTAAAAAAACCTGTTTGGGAGGCATAAGAAATCATCTATATATTGAAATTTGGATAGTTTCATTTCCCCATACTCTGTGGTTCAACACAATGTAGGCTCTACTACATCAGGGCTAGGGACACCCCCAGAGAGAAAAATGCCAACAGCAACGACTCTGAACCACGGCATCCAAATCACTGTCACCAGATCCATTAAGGACAGAAAAAGAGGTAAAACTTTAGGCAGATGGAAACATGTTGTGTAAAACCATACGAGTGACAAGCCCTGTCCTTATAGCAACTAGAGCAGCCAGTTGCATCACTGTGCATCAGCTGCCTCATCCGGGTGCACAGCTGGGAGCCCGACCCAGAAGCAAGCAGCAGGGAAGGGCACTGCAGCCTCCAGATGCACACAAGGATGCCGGGAGAGAAGTGATCTTCTGAAGACTCAAGCTAACCTCCAAGGCCCTTTTCTGCCCTAACATTCTTTGATGCTAAACCCAATGCTGTATTTTTCCAAATTACTCCCAGGAAAGACCACACAGGGAGAATATTTGAATCAGAGGTTAAATAATGTCAAATTTTAACAATTCCTAAGCTTTATGACTACATTCAAACAAAACAGTTCTGCACAATGTCAGTTTTATTTGTGGATTAAGGCAAAGATCATTCAAATACAAGTTTTAGCACAAGACTGGCATCCCCCATTCACCCTTTCCCAGAATATACACTAATCAACCCAAGAACAATATAAAATTGTAACATATAGCAAGAAAAAAAAATCCTCAGAAGCCTATCTTTCTTCACTCCCCCAAGGAATCCTATATACCAGAATCTAGCTAAGTTACCATAAAGTCCAACTTCATCACACAAATATTGGCCAGGGTAGGTGGGTGGGGAGGCAGGCAGAGAGTACGTTTACCTTCTCAATCATAGGGTTTTGCCATATAGAATGGAAAAAACAGAGGACCCATTTGGACACAATGAATGGATTATAGCTAAGCTCCAACATAAAAATAACAAGAGGTTTTAATGAGAACTTGTATACATTTAAAACACAAACATATATACACATAGATCTCCAATAAACCCTTTACAAAATAATATGTGAACAATTTGTTGGTTTTTCATCATTTTGAATAGTCTTCCCTGCTAACATCCTTGTATCACAGAAAATAGACTATTTTGAAAAAAGTTAAAAAAAATAATCTCCACTGCACACAATTGAATGTCATTTCTTTGACAATCTATATGAACAGCAGGCTAGGCCAGGCCCACCCCAGGTCCTTACACTGGTCCCAAACCTACACCCAGACATGAGCCATTTGGGAGTTTCCCATCCAGGGCATGGTAGGTCAGACAAACGCAACAGGCTAAGGAGCAGTGCCATGTGCTAATCAAGGCATACCAGGAGAGAGGCTAGAGTGAGCTGAGAGGTATTAGGAAGGAGATGCAAATGATCTGGGCCAGAAGAACCAGCAGACTCGGAGAGGTCATGAACTTGGAGAGGAGCAAAGACTGTGGCTGCACAGATGAGATGAGACAAAGGTCTTGCGGTTGAGTGAAATGGGAAGTGACAAAGGCACACTGAGGCTTATTACTGTGAGCACCTGGCTAGAACTTCTGCAATGAACACTTAATCTTGGTGATAGGATTTAGCTGTGTCCCCACCCAAATCTCATCTTGAATTGTAGTGCCCATAATTCCCACGTGTTTTGGGAGGGACCCAGTGGGAGATAATTGAATCATGGGGGTAATTTCCCCATACTGTTCTCATAGTAGTGAATATGTCTCATAAGATCTGAAGGTTTTGTAAGGAGAAACCGCTTTCGTTTGGTCCTCTGATTCTCCCTTCTCTGCTGTTATGTAAGATGTGTCTTTCGCCTTCTGCCATGATTGTAAGACTTCCCCAGCCATGTGGAACTGTGAGTCCATTAAACCTCTTTTTCTTTATAAATTACCCAGTCTTGGGTATGTGTTTATCAGCAACGTGAAAACAGACTAATACACTCGGTTAATAAGTACCTAGGATATTAATTTCTTTTGAATTCGGGGGATTAAAAACAAACTAGAAATACACTGTCATTATAAATCAGAGATATCACCTATATTATGTCTGCATAGAGCAAGCAGAAGCAGAGGTACGTCAGCCTCATGGTCAGCCCCATAGAGCCTATGCTGCCAGCTTCCTGGAGCTCTTCAACTCATCTCTGAGGAGGCCTTCATCACCTTGCTTTCTGCTTTCACACGGCCCTGTTGGCTTCTGGGCATTGATTTCAAACTGAACCAAAATAACTAGGCTCTACCTCTCTGGTTGGAAAGGCCAGCACCCTCTCCCTAGTTACAATAAACCAGGGGAAATATTTTCTGGAAGTTTTTAAAGTGTGTGGATTCTTAACTACTCCTATTTCTCAAGTGCTACAAAACATAAAAGGTTAGTACTATTACTGATTCTATTATTGTCTACAAATATGATTTAGTTGTAGATATGCCTGAAGGCAAAGGGATAACTAGATGCATTCTTAAGAACCCTCTGAGCCTCTGCACTTTAGAAACATTCATCAATAAGTCTTACTTTTGTTTTCAACTTTAGAATCAAACTTCTTTTTTGTGAAAGCTCTTAGGTAATGATATTTATGGCTTTCAAGAGATGGGGTGGGAGAGGGAATATATGAAATTCTGAATGTGAGACACTGATATCAAACAGCAGAAATGAAAGAACAGAGTACTATTAGCTATTTTTGTTTTTTAATGGAACTCACAGGCTTCTATATGCTCCCCAGAAATGCCTCAGAGCTGCGGTGTGGCAGGAAGCCTAAATGAGGTCTCAGAAAAGATAATGGAGCTTTAATGATGGAAATAGTAAGAAAATTAAATCTAATCATGTTCCATTAAACATGCTCTTAGCTCCCATTTTTACTAAATTATTTTATTATGAGTTTGCCTCTCTCTATTGAAATAACCTTTTACGGCAATTTGATTTGCAAGCATAAATAAGTCTCATTTATTTTCCACTATGAATCTCTGTGGGATTAATAAGAGATGGATCATCTAAAATTTTACCCATTCTGCTATCAGGAAGTAACCATTCAGAGGGATGAATACTTCGTTTTATATTTATATTTGTAAGGAAAGCATTATACTATAATTATAGTCTCACTCAACAGTAACATATTACCTGCCAGGGAGATGATGTTAGGCCAGGAAGCTCCTTCTATACCAGCCTCTCAAAAGGGCAGCCAGAATCATGCACACCTCAGGTATGGATCTGTCCTATGCTCCCAGTCACCTCACCTCCTCAGGCCATGGCCTCCTCATGCTCATCCTCCACTCCCACTCTTCGATGGACTTTTACCATGTTTGGAGTGCTTTGTTATAATTGACCAGAACTGCTTGACTATTTGCTTCTAACAGGATGCTCTTGCAAAGCCATCTAGATGTGGATCCTAGGGTATGGCATGGTGAATTGTAAACAATCATGCAATCTGTCAAAAGGTACACAAATGTGGGATGGAGCAGAGGAAGACAGAAATGGCTACAGCTCTGGTCTCTGCAGAGAACAGAAGCACCTGTCATATATGCAGACAGTGTTTTAAAGATTCTTTCCAAAACCTATTTGCTTCCAAAAAGTGTCATGATGAGAAGGCTAGAAGTCTAACTGAAATCACAATTCACTAATTAAGTGGTTCTCTGGGCCAAATCTTGATTGAGTCTATTAGAAACTGGAGGACTTAATGAGAAAAACCTCTGATTTATAAAGAATGGTATCAGTGGGAGAAGAGATTGGGAGAAGATTATACAAAGACCAGACATGAATCAATCCCTGTCTTCTAACTTTGTATTAAGATCTAAAGAGAGAAAAATAATATAAAGGATAAATTAATGAAGCAATTCTGAACTATGGATCATAACATTTAGTGAAGATATAATAACTTTTTTCTTTTGAGAAAGAGTCTCACTCTGTCACCCAAGCTGGAGTGCGGTGGTGTGCGCTCAGCTCTCTGCAACCTCCACCTCCCAAGCTCAAGTGACCCCCCTGCCTCAGCCTCCCAAGTAGCTGGTACCATAGGTGCATGCCACTATGCTCAGCTAATTAATTAATTAGTAGAGATGAGGTCTCACTATATTGCCCAGTGATCTTCAACCCCTGGGCTGAAGTGATCCTCCTTCCTTGATCTCCCAAAGTGCTGGGATTAGAGACATGAGCTACCATGCCTGGCCAAGAAATAACTATTAATATGTACATACCAAATAACACAGCAACAACTTTCATAAACAAGAGATGTGGGAAGAAATTTGCAAAAACACACTAAAAATAGGGTACTTTATTCACTTCCCTCAATCTAAGACAGATGACGCAGAAAAATTAGTAAAGATAAGATTTGAACAACATACTCAAGATATACATAATGTCAAATTCTAACTCATATAAACAGAATAACCAAGAACAATCTTCAAGTACACACAGGGAACTTATTAAAAGTAACAATAGCTAACAACCAATCTGAAGAAGAAGTAAAGAAAACATTTCCATTTACAATAGCATCAAAAAGAATAAAATATTTAGAAATAACCCTAACCAAGGAGGCAAAAGACTTGTACACAAAAAACTATAAAACACTGCCAAAATCAAAGATACAAGAAATCAAAGATACAAAGAAATGGGAAGATATCCTGTGTTCATAGATCAAAAGATGTAATATTGCTCAAATGTCCACACTACTCAAAGTGATCTACCAGATTCAATGCAATCTCTATAAAAATTCCAATGGCATGTTTTTGTAGAAATAGAAAAAAAAATCCTAAAATTCATATGAATTCTCAAAAGACCTAAAAAAGCCAAAAAATCTTGAAAAAGATGTACAAACTTCTCCAAGTTTTCTCACACTCACTGATTTCAAAACATACTACAAAACAACAGTAATCAAGACAGTACTGTACTGGCATAAACACAGACATATAAACCAATGGAACGAAACAGAGAGCCCAGAAATAAACCTGCGCATATATGGCCAATCTTTGACAAGTTGCCAAGCTCACACAATGGGAAAATGAGATACTCTTTTCAACAAATGGCACTGGGGGAAACTGGATGTCCACATGCAAACAAATGAAGTTGAACTTTTACCTTATACCATATACAAAAATAAACTCAAAATGGATTAAAGACATAAATGTAAGCTCTAAAACGATAAAACTTCTAGAAGAAAACATAGAGGAAAGCTTTGGGACATTGAATTTGGCAATGATTTCTGTTATATGACACCAAAAGCACAAGCAACAAAATAAAAAGCAGATAAATGAGACCACATCAAATTTTAAAACTTTCATTCATCAAACCAAACAATCAACAGAGAGAAAAGACAACCTATGAAATGAGAGAAAATTTGTGCAAATCGTACTTCTGATGAGGGGTTACTATCTACATTGTATAAAAAACTCCTATATTTCAATAACAACAACAAAATTAAAAATAGACAAGGACTTGAATAGACAATTCTCTAAAGATGAAATACAAATTGCCAACAAGCAGATGAAAAGATGCTCAGCATCACTAATTATAAGAGAAATGCAAATCAAAACCGCAATGATATATCAGCTCACACCTATTAGGATGGCCACTATAAAAAAAACACAAATGGTGAGGACGGGCAGAAACTGGAACCCCTGTACACTGTTAGTGGGAATGTAAAATGGTGTAACCATTATGGAAAACAGTATGGAGGTTACTCAAAACATTTAAAGTAAAGTTTTCATTTGATCTAGCAATCACACTTCTGGGTATATATCCAAAAGAATTCAAAATAGGATCTCAAAGAGAGAATTGCCCATTCATGTTCACTGCTGCATTACTCACAGTAGCTAAGATATGGAATCAACTTGAGTGTCCATCAATGAATGGCTAGGGAAAATATGTTCTATATGCACATTGGAATAATATTCTCTTTAAAAAAGAAGGAAGTGTTGTTATTTGCAACAACATGGATGAATCTCAAGGACATTATGCTAAGTGAAATAAGCCAGTCACAAAAGGAAAAATGCTGTATGATTCCATTTCATAAAGTGTGTAAAGTAGTCAAAATCCTAGAAACAGAAAGTAGACAGGTGACTGCAAAGAGATTAAGGGAGGGAAGAGGGTTGAAAACAATGTTTAACGGAAACATAGTTTCAGTTTTACAAGATGAAACAAGTTCTAGAGATTCATTGTATAACAATGTGAATATACTTAATGTTAATAAACTTCACATTTAAAAATTGTTAAAATGGTAAATTTAATGTTATGTGGTTTTTGCCACAATAGAAAGATACTAAGAAAAAAATTGGTCACAGAATATGTTAAATGACATATGAGAATGTAGTCTGTGGGAAGAACTGCAGGAAAAACTATTTTTGTTTCTTCAATATCAGAAAGAAAGAAAAAGAAGGAAAAGATGAAAAGAACTTAAAAGATGTACTATCAATGTGAATTTATTCAAATTAACTGTAAAAAATCATTTAAAAGACATTGAAAATTTGAACATTGACTGGATATTTGATAGTATTAATAAATTATTAATACTTAGGGGCAAAAAACACACCACCACCAGCCATTTATTATCTTAGTTTCTGTAGGTCAGAATTCAAGGCAGGCTCAACGGGTTCTCTACGTAGGGTCTCACAATACTAAAATCAAAGTGTCAGCTAGGCAGCACTCTTATTTAGAGGCTCCATGGAAGAATCCTCTTCTAAGCTCATCCAGATTGCTAACAGAATTCAGTTGATTGTGGTTGTAAGACTGAAGTGTCTGTTCTCTTACTGGCTGCTGGATGAAAACCACTATCAACTCCTAAAAGCCACTCTCAGGTCCTTGCTCCCTGGACCCTTCCATTCCAAACAGAATTCTCTGGCATTCATTCCTTCTCATATTTTGAGTATCTCTGATTTCCTATTCTGCAACCAACTGAAGAAACTACTTTTCTTTTAAAAGCTCATGTCATGAGGTTAGGCCCACCTGCATAATCTCCCTATCTTAAGGTCAACTAATTAGTAATTTAATTAAGTCTGCAAACTCCCTTTTGGCATGTAGTGGGGATAGAGCTCCTGGGTGACATATTAGAATTCTGACTGCCAGACTGATAAAATGCATTGAGGTTGAATTTGACTCCATGTAGATATATAGCTTTGAAATACTGAGAAAGAACTATTACCTTATAGGTAATCAGAAAAAAGCTATGAAATATTCATTTGGTACCTTAGTTCCCTCAATTCCCAGTAGCCTTTATCTACTTGATTGTAACTAGATAAAGTCACATGAAGGCAAAGGCTAAATACTATTTATCTTGGTAGTCCTAGCACCTATGACCTAGCACAATACCAGTGCTTAATAATATTACTATATGAATTGAAAACTGAAAACAGCACGATGCTCTTGTAAGTGTTGTTCATGTCACAGATAAAAGCTTTAAAATTAAATCTTTTTTAAATATCGGTTAATTAGCACTTATAATTTTTTAGCATTTAATAGAATTTCCTCCAGTTTTTAAGTTGAAGACAATTGAAAAGTGATCTTCTGTTATTTTCTTTATAACAGATGACAATATATGATGAACAAAAGATTAAAATAATAATTAGTTTAAATACAGCTTAAGTCAGGAGCACTAATTATACAAAGACACTAGAAGTTCTTTTATCCACAAGATTGCTGTTGAAATCAGGCTTTGGCCAGATTTAAGGACATCTGAGCAGACAGGCTTCAGGATGCCAGTGAAAGGTGCCACAATAGAACTGCAAACAAAAGAAGCAGGTGGTGAGGGAAAACAAAACAAAACAAAACACCACAATGAAAGGAGCAAAAAGCAGGAGAAACATAGATACATAGATTATCTGACTGACAGTACATTTCATTTAATACATGATCCTCTGTAGAATGCAATTAATATATACTTTTTGGAACCTAAAAATATGTACTTGCATACAAACTTGCCTATATAACTTGATTTTTCAAAATTACATTCAATTCAAAGATAAAACGATTATGCTTTGAATTTTCAAATTTTCACAGAAAAATTATGACAAAATCATGGTGTTTGAAGCTAAAAGAAACTATGGGACTGAGTTTACCACTCTGAACTTTTATCTATGGGCAAACTGAGGATCTGAGAAGAACAGGCAACCAAAGAGTGGCAAGAGAGGCCCAGGTCTCCTGTCTGCTAGCCATTCTAGCCTGGCTGTACATCACACAACCTCTGCATCTACCAAATAGCAGGACAAGTGCACAGACCCATTTTAATAACAAGACCTTATTCCCTAATGCATAAAGCTTATTTTATAATGTGATTTATACCAATAGACACAAATAATAATAATTTATGTTGATATATGAACTTTAAAAACACAAAAACTTAAGGTTACAGTTGACAAATTGGGCATCCAGTCATTTAAATAAATTTAGGTATGACAGTCATATATTTTAAGCCATGGTAATAAAGAAAACAAAATCAATGAAGTACTGAGGTCAATATTTTTTAAGATGGTCCTAAGACTCAATCGCTATTTCCATTTAGCAAGTTCTCATTGAGCAGTATGTGTCCAGTGCCAGCTAGTGTTGTTGATGTTCAGCCACATGGTCCCTGCCTTTTGTTATTAACATTCTGGAAGGAGAATGAGACATGTCATAAAATGGATATTCTTGGACTTCACCTTCCAGCCATGAGGGATTAAGAGGATATGCAATTACCCTACCTCTGTCAAACACTAGAAAATTAGACAAATATTAAAAAAAAAAATAACTTAGCACAGGACTATGATCTCTAAAAGAGAAAAAAATAAGTGAGGTGAACCTACCACTGACCAGGTGTTCTACTATGAGGCAGTTTTCAGACAGAGACACAGTGAGCGGGAACCTATACAGAGTCCAGCAATCTAGATTAGTTAAGGAGAAGGCAAACAGAGTTTGAGGTGGTAGAATTCCAGAGAGAAGAGAGTTACACAGAGAAAAATAACATGGGAAATCTGTACAAAGGTTCCAGTGGATTTTTGAAATCAATCTGCATATGCACAGGAAAAAACACCACAAAGGCCAGGCCAAAAAAAAAAAAAAAAAAAAATCCTAAGAAATGAGTTACTAGGTAGGAGTAAGAGAAACAATTCCCAGAGCTCACAGAAGGCCAGGGAATCACTGGAGTTCTCACCAGCCAGACCACAGAGGTCATGTTGAATATATAGTGCCTTTTGTAAAAATAATTCAGAATGGCAATGCCTTAGAAACAGAACAGCCTTACTCCTAAAATAAAGGCACTTCTAAATATGCCTTAAAAAAGCTTTAAAGCAAACCCCTAAAAAGTTAAAATAATCTAAAAGTAACTTTATTGCCTACCAGAAAAAAATCCAACACTCTTTAGAAAAATCGATATGACAGACTTAATGCAAAATATACAATGTCAGAAATGAAATATTGCTACACAAAAGAAGAAATGCAAGAATGGGACTCATAAAAAGAAAAATCAGTCAAAAAAATAAAGACCAGAAATGACAAATAGTCCAAGTTCAAACAAAAAAGCTAAAATTTCTATTATAAAGACACACAATAAGCTCAAGAGTGCAGAGGAAAATGAATAGAATGAGATAAAGAGATGTTTTAAAGAACCAAATGCAAGGTTTTTTTTGTTTTTTTTTTAAGACAGAGTTTCTCTCTGTCACCCAGGCTGGAGTACAGTGGCGCGATCTCGGCTCACTGTAACCTCCGCCTCCCGGATTCACGCCATTCTCCTGCCTCAGCCACCCAAGTAGCTGGGACTACAGGCGCCTGCCACCACGCCCAGCTAATTTTTTGTATTTTTAGTAGAGACAGGGTTTTACCCTGTTAGCCAGGATGGTCTCGCTCTCCTGACCTCATGATCCGCCTGCCTTGGCCTCCCAAAGTGCTGGGATTACAGGCATGAGCCACCGCGCCCGGCCCCCAAATGCAAGTTTTAAAAATAAAAAAGAAGGGCCTGGTGCAGTGGCTCACACCTGTAATCCCAGCACTTAGGGAGGCTGAGGCGGGTGGATCACCTGAGGCCAGGAGTTCAAGAGTAGCCTGACCAATATGGTAAAACCCCGTCTCTACTAAAAATACAAAAAAAAAAAAAAAAAAAAAAAAATTAGCCGGGCATGGTGGTGTACGCCTGTAGTTCCAGCAACTTGGGTGGCTGAGACAGGAGAATTGTTCGAACCTGGGAGGCAGAGGCTGCAGTGAGCCAAGATCACGCCACTGCACTCCAGCCTGGGCAACAGAGAGGGACTCTGTCTCAAACAAACAAACAAACAAAAAAACAAATACATCTTAAATAACAATTTCACTAGATTGGATTACCAACAAATTAGACACAACAGACAAAAAGGCCAGTGAACTTGAAGACCTCGCAATACAGTATATCCAAAACTAGGTACAGAAAGAAAAAAAAAAAAACTCTGAAAAATGAAATAAACAGAGGCTCAGTGTCTTATGGGATCATATCAAGCAGCCTAACATACATGTAATTGAGGATAAAATAGGCTAAGAGGAAAGGGGAAAAAAAGCTTTTTGAAGAAACGATGGTTGAAGAATTTTTTATTTGAAGAAAATCATAATTCCACAGATTCAAGAGCTTAATAAACCACAGATGGATAAACATTCACAAACACACATATGTACACACACACCCTCCACACACCAAGACTAATCATAATCAGATTGCTGACAATCAGAAAAGAGAGGAAAATCTTAAAAGGGGAAAAAAAAGATATTACATAGAAAAGAACAAGTATAAAAATGACAGCAGACTTATTAGTAACTGTGCAAGCCAGAAGACAATGAAAAGCAACTTTGAAGTATTAAAAGAAAAATTAACAAACTAAAAATTGTAATCAGTGAATATATCTTTCAAAGATGAAGGTGAAATAAAAACTTTTTCAGCAAACAAAAGTGGAAAGAATTCTTTACCAGTATCTCTGCATGGAAAAAAAAGAAGTGGAGGGTAGGGAAAGTTTTTCAGACAAATTTTTTTTAAAAGATGAAAGTTGAATAGAGTCTAAACGGGATGTCCAATCTTTTGGCTTCCCTGGGCCACACTGGAAGAAGAATTGTCTGGGGCCACAAATAAAATACACTACCGATAACTGATGAGCTTAAAAAAAAAAAAGCCCATGCATAAATCTCATAATGTTTTAAGAAAGTTAACGAATTTGTGTTGGGCCACATTCAAAGCTGTCCTGGGCCGCAGGTTAGACAAGCTGGATTTAGACAAAGGAATGAAGGTCTCCTAAGGCAGTTAATATGAGTAAATATTTTAACTTATTTTTATATTTAAATTTCTTTAACTGGATAAGGTTAAAATAACGTATGATCAGATTCACAACATATGTATAAGTAAAACGTGTTATGTGGTAAATATTTGGCCATAAGAATAAAGATAATTGTTCTATTTAGGCAGCCCCCACGTTGCACAGTTCATGTGAGCTATTAAAATGGTCATACCAGCTGAACTGTACAAAGCCATCTCACTAATAATAGATAAAAAATTACAATTGCTCCATAATCTTTAAAATTTGTTGTCAAGGGATGCTGGAGGATCATGACGGATGGCAGGCAGGATAGACTGCAGCTCCCAGTTGGATGGACAGAACAGCATGTGGAGTCTTGCATCCGGAACTTTTGTTCCAGAACTACTGCAGGAATATATCAGAAAAGCCGAGAGAACCCACAGACCCACTGAAGGAAGCGGACTGCTCCTGCAGGAACCGGGAGACACCCCAAATACTATGAGTGCCCAAACTGTAGAAGTGGGAAACGGGGATCATCCACCCTTGAACACACACCCTCACTGGGGAACCTGAAGGTCTAAATCACAGAAGATTCTGACTTTTACCTGGAGCTGAGTCAATTTAGAGAGCTGAGTCAATTTAGAGAGCCGAGTGAAATACAGGTGTAGAGGAAGCAGCGGGAAAAGCCCTGTGGGCTCTCTGGGTCCCCTGGGTAAACCATTTCTGCCTTGCCTCACAGGGGTCCTCGGGCGGGCTGCCTAAGGTACTGGGAAAAGGCCACAGGGAGAAAGGGTGGGAAAGGGGTGAGGGATACAAGACTACAAATTGGGTGCAGCGTATACTGCTCAGGTGATGGGTGCACCAAAATCTCACAGATCACCTGAGAACTTACTCATGTAACCAAACACCACCCGTTCCTCAATAACCTATGGAAATAAAAAAATTTTTTTAAATAACAATAAAAATAAAATTTGTTGTCAAAACATTAAAAACTCTTATCAGTTATAAATGTATAGAGAAGTAAAAAATAGCAAACCTAACACTTTAGTACACTGTAATTTAAAACAGAAACATTGAGAATTAATGTGTTTTATTTATCTGTAAAACACTTATGAAGAGTAGTTAAAATGGTGTTAACCTTCTCTTTATCATATCACTTATGATACAAAGTGAGTATCTTATCTATGCCTTGGGGAACTGCCATACTCCTAAAATTTTATCCTTTGTGCTTTCAATGTTGTGAAATATCTGTGTGTGTTCTCTTAATGTCGATTTTTTTTTAAACTGATGTCACTTCCTCTGGGACATCCTCATGCTTTCTGTCACAACCACTTTCCTCACTAATGTCAACAAGCTCACCTTCACCAAGTTCCTCTGGCTGCATAGCTAGGAATTCTAGAAAGCAGCAGGTCACCATTACCACAATCAGCTATTTCTTCCCTAACTCCCCTTATATTTAATTCAGATTTCATTTCCAGTATTATCATATTTTGTTTCTTTGCTGAACTTTTATTTTTGTTGGCCAGTCTCTCAACTATCCATTTTTGTAAAAGGTCATGTGAGTTTATCACTGAGAGACAAGAAAACACAACTACCCACTTTGCTGTCTAAACAAGAGCTGATGCAAAGTGACAAATCACTGAAAGACTTTCAAAGAAGTGATGTGATAGGTCACTGATCATGATGCGCATCTCTTTAGTGATTTGTTGATTGAAGATCTACCAGGCAAGTTTCTACATTGTACAGTTACTCACCATATACCCTACACACATGCATGCACACACACACACACATATAAACACAATGAAATCTGTAACTGAAATCTGAACCATGTTGCAGGGGAACTGGAGTTATTTAACCAAACCATGGTAACTGAAATTCACGGATGCTGGAACCACACAAAGAGATGACCGGTCTATAGTTGATAGTTATATTTACATCAGTAACTACAGAGAGAGAGATACACAGAAATATATACATTAAAATAAATGCTAACTATGCATATCTCTGGGCACAGAGTCATAGCTAATTTCCATTTTCTTCTTCAGGCTTTTCTTTATATTTTAGTTTTTATACAATGATGATCTAAATGTACCACTCGTGTAAAAAGAAAAATAGCCTGGCTGGGCACAGTGGCTCACTTCTGTAATCCCAGAACTTTGAGGGGGCTGAGGTGGGCAGATCACTTGAGCTCAGAAGCTCAGACCAGCCTGGGCAACACGGTGAAACCCTGTCTCTACAAAAAATATAAAAAACTTAGCCAGGTATCACGGCATGTATCTGTAGTCCCAGCTACCGGGGTTGGGGGAAGGGGGGCTGAGGTGGGAAGATGGATTGAGCCTGGGAGGCGGAGGTTGCAGTGAGCTGAGGGAGCACCACTGCACTCCAGCCTGGGTGACAGAGCCAGACTGTGTCGAAAGAGAGAAAAGAGAGAGAGGGGAGGGAAAGGGAAAGGAAGGCAGGTGGGCAAGCAGAGTTATTTTTAAAGGCAGTAAATTTTATAAGTTATTTCTTAGATGTTATTTCCTGGCATAGAACATATAATTTTAAATTCATGCAAACCATCAGAAAATCAAAATATGCATAGTTGCTTACTTATACACACAAGAAACAGGAAGGGCACTATGGGCTGGGCACGGCAGCTCATGTCTATAATCTCAGCACTTTGGGAGGCCAAGATGGGACGATTACTTGAGGCCAGGAGTTTGAGGCCAGCCTGAGCAACACAGTGAGACTTCCATCTCTATGAAAACATTTTTTTAATTAGCTGGGCATGGTGGCACGTGCCTACAGTTCCAGCTACTTAGGAGGCTGAGGTGGGAGGATCTCAAGCCCAGGAGTTCAAGGCAGCAGTGAGCTATGATCACACCACTGAAGTCCAGCCTGGATGACAGAATGAGACTCTATCTCTAAAAATAAAATAAAATAAAATAAAAGAAGGCCACTGTGGCTGAAGAATACAGGTGAAGGGGTGAATGGTATGAGATGGGGTGGAAGAGAGATGCGAGGGACAGAAGTGGTGCTTTATAGCCCCAGTTAGAGATTTGGATTTTCAATTGGATGTTAAGCCACTGCAGGTTTTAAGCTGAAGAGGAATATATAATTTCCATTTGTAAGAAAATCAAATCTAGCAAATCTAGCTAAATGGAACGCAAACAGCAGGGGAGATGAAAGGAGAAGCAGGGAGATGAGTCAGGCACCAGAGCAGCGCAGCTGAAACAGGATGGTGGCTTGGACTACGGTGAGAGTAATGGAGATGGAGAAAAGGAGACAAATCGAGCTATGTTTAGGAGAAGAAAGGCCGATCCCAGACTGTATTATATGGCTAGGGAGAGATATATGTCACTGAGACAGGAAAAACCTGTGGAAGAAGCAGTTTTGGTGTGTGAGAGGAAGGGCAATGAGTGCAGGATCAAAAGATCGATTTGGCTCTATAAAGTCTAAGATATTTTTAAAATACTTAGGATAGTTTTTTCAGATTAGAGATGGCACACTGATCAGAACAGATGACACACTCAAAAGGGTTTAACTGAAAATAATTTAAACAAGGGGCTCTACAGATGTGCAGGCCAGCTTCAGAGGACCTGCAAGGCGTGGTAAAGCACCCAGAGACCAGGCAGTAACCCCCTTGGGCCTGAAGTGACTTGACCTCTTCCTCTTCCTGCCCACTGATCCTGCCGCGGTCAACTTCTGGCAGAACCCAACTAGAAGCCAGTAAGCTACAGAGACCAGGTAAGATAGCTGGCTGGCCAGCCTCTCGGGGCACTGAGCAGGGTAAAAGGCACCTAGTAATCCTAGAAAAGAAGGCTAATGAAGAATTACTAATAAAAGAATATTTGAAGCTATCAGCATAGATGGATTTACTTATGCAAAGTGTGTAGTTAAAAAAGAAAAGGTGTTCCAAGACAGAGCTTTGGGGTCCTCTGAACCTTCGTGGTCAGATGCAGCTTGAGGAGTCAGCAAAGGAGACCAAGAAGTTGTACTAGGGAGGTGGGAGGGAAACTGGAGGGTGTAGTGCCACAGAAGCCAACACAGAAGAATGTCTCAACAAGTGAGGGTGGTCATTTTATTAAGAACTGTTTTCAGGCCAAGGAAGTAATAACAGAGAGTGATTAAGGGATTTGCCAATGTGATAGTCATTGGTGACATTAAAAAGTGCAATCTCAGTAAAGAAGAGAAACCAAAAAACCTACTAAGTAGCTGAGGGAATAACAAGACAAAGAAAAGACAGTGCCAAAGACAATTCTTTCAAGAAATGTAGCTGTGACACTGATCAGAGAAATGAAGGAATAGCTGCAGAGGGATGTGGGGTAAAGAGTATCCCTAGTATTTCCTAACGAGATCTAAAAAGAGAGTCAGAGAAATTAACAACAGCAGAAGACCTTACAAAGGCAAGAACAAATGGGCCCAGGAACAAGTAGATGACTTGGTTTGGCTTTGATAGAAGCAGGGATACTCTAGTCATTACATCGGGGGGATGACAAGAAAGAAAGACGGGAGTATGAGTATACTTGCCTGCATGTTGACAGGTTTGGTGTTGGAATGGAACACTTCATGTCTCAATAAAGCTTAAGGCAGCTGCACATTGGGGGCATTTGTTTTAGAGGGCAGGAATCATACACATAAAGCAGCATGAATTTCCAGCTGAGATATAGTCAGGTCATTTAAAGAGAAACCAGTTGGTATAATTGTGTATTTTTCTCCAGGAGATTTTAATTTTTCAGGTGCTGGTGAAGAATAGGAGAGTTAGGAGTTGGACTTAATAAAAGCTGTTGCTCTGGCAGATGAGTAAGATACAGGGAAGGGGTCAAGGGAATTCGGGTGTTTTCAAGGGCTTGAGATGGGCAAAATCATGGAATCCAAGCTAAGAAAGGGAAGAGAAGACATAAAGAGCTGGGAAGATAATGATAATGGCTGGGTCAATGGTCTGGACATTTCTGTGAGGGTAAAGAATTCCTGAGAGAACTGTCATGGGTGAGCTGGAAGGACAGAAGGTGGCATTCGGAGTGAGATATGTGAAATCAAGGTCATAAAGGTAGTTCAATTATGATAGATCACAAGGTCAGAGATGTGGTCCATGGAATGTGTGCATGAGGTGTGCGTAGGGGGATGGAATAGAACATTAGAAGACAGCTGAGGTACTGAGTGGCCAAAGTGCAGGATGGACCATTCATATGAAAATGAAAGTCACCAAGAAAGATGGCAGACATCATTACAGAAGGGAAGAAATTGGGCCTGATTCTAGTGTAAGGTTTCTCAATGTCAGCACTATTGACATCATGGGCCAGATAACTGTTTTGGGGGTTGCTCTGTGCACCGTACACTATTTAGTAGC
Organism: Homo sapiens; assembly: GCF_000001405.40. Lineage (NCBI taxonomy): Eukaryota > Metazoa > Chordata > Mammalia > Primates > Hominidae > Homo > Homo sapiens. The sequence continues at coordinate 41,596,963 of NC_000003.12, forward strand.
ATCCCTGACTTCTACGCTCTAGATATAGGTGCCATCCCACCCCAGTCTCTCTGTTGCAGCTCCCTTGGGTTGGGGTTGGTGGTCAGGACAGAGAACAGGCCACCCCTCCTGCACGCTCCCCTCTCAGGAGTCATAAGTAAAGTCCTGTGAGGACCCCTGTTTTCACACAGCACGGAGGTGACTGGGAGGGGTAGTCTCCCCACTCTGTGGTGGAGCATAATGGAAAAATCTCAAAGTAAGTCCTTGTGTGTCAACCATAGACCATCCAAAGCTAACTCTTACTTGCTCTCTCGAAGCTGGACCCTACCAAAGGATTCTCCAGGAAACAACATGGCTCAGGGAGCTTCCTTTCTCTGTGTGGACCAAGGGAGATACATTGGTGGCTTTTTTCCCTTTAGGCTCAAAACCTGCAGGGCCTTGCACAGATCAAGACACGGCAAATTTTACAGCTATCTTTTATCTCTTAAGTGAAAGTTTGCTCTGTAACATAATTCCTCTCTCTCCACCTCCGCATAGCCCATCCCAGGTTGGGTCTTTTAGGCAGATAGTCCAGGCACCTATAGAATCAAGTCCCTGGTGAAACAAACAGTGAGTTCCACAGAGGACCACCTTGTGCTGTCCTCTGGATTCACTGCGTAGGCCACAGAGAGTGAGTGTGAGTACTGACTGGCCACATAAGAAAACCCATCAGGGAAGAAGGGGTTTCTGGGCACAATGAGACAGCACTGCCCACAGGTAATCGCTTCTCTTTGATTACTGCCCCAAGAATGCTGATTTACCACTGGATAATTCTTAAGGAAGACAAAAAAGAGATATGCTTCTCAAAACACAAACTTAGAGATTTTTTGGGAGGGGAGCAGCCCTTCATAGTGGAGGCGAAGTCTACTTCAATTTGCAATTTGCAATGCAACACGTGGAGAAAAGCAAAAAAACGAAACCAAACTCCTAAGCATAGCAGGTGCACTGAATCCTCTTAACACGCATTTCCCTAAAGTAAAACCAAAAATAACTTTCTGAAAAAACTCATTTCTAAGCACATCTTTCAGTACTGGCAGATCCTGCGTTCCCAAAGGGCTCAAGCTAATAAGCCTCAAGAGTTCTAAGGCCCCTTGGGGGTGAGTGGACCTAGTGAACATTAAAAGAATCCCCAACATGCAAAACTGATCAAAGCAGAGATGTCCTGGTCCCACATGACCAGTTCCTCACTCCCTCCCAATCAGCCACCAGACGGAGTTGGAAACACCTACCCTTGCTTCAGCCTGCCATGCCCAGTCATCTACCTAAAACACCTTTACAGCACTGCTTACTTGCAAACTAAACCCTCTAAAATAATGTCTAAAAGTAGCTCAACTGGAGCTATAAGAAAAGCTATCAAACATTGTTTGGTGAAATAAAATAAAAATCCAGTGTTTCAACAGATACAGAGCATCTCAGGAGACCAGACAGATAGAGAAACATATGTAAGCAATCTTCCAGAGCATGCGAGTAATATATTTCAAAGGGAGCTGTCATGGAGAGCAAAATCAATCATTTTTACAACGAAACCTAGAAATTGCCACAGTTATATGGCACAGCAGGAATTCTTCACACGTAAATCATGTGGGAACAGCATTAGAAAAAAATATCATAAATTCTAATCTAAGAAACATCATCAAATATATGTGGCTATTTTTACGGCCCAGAGAATACACATCCACCCCCTACATATACACCCCCACACACACACACGAGTTCACATTTAATCTCAGTCGCTGCTTCTACAAAGACTGCTGTATATTGTTTTTCATGATTACTTACATGGTAGGCTTACTATAAAAAGAATAGTAAGTGGTATTATGTAAGTGTATTATTGCTGTAACAAATTATCACAGACGTTGTGGCTTAAAACAACATAAATTGACTATCTTACAGTTCTAGACGTCAGAGGTCTGAGACAGTTCACTGGAACAGAAATCAAGGTGTCCACTGGGCTGCACTCCTTTCTGGAGGCTCCAGGGGAAAATCTGTTTTCTTGCCTTTTCTAGTTTCTAGAGGCAGCCTGCATTCCTTTGCCTGTGGCACCCTTCCAACATCAAAGCTAGCCAATGGCCACTTGAGTCTTTCTCACAGTGCATCATGTCACTCTGACACTTCCTTTTTCTACCTCCTTCTTCCACATCTGAAGAAGCCTTGTGACTGCATTGGGCCGTGGGATGAGGATAATCTAATGTTTAGGTCAGCTGATTAGGATGAGGATAATTAATATTTAGGTCAGCTGTTTAGGATGAGGATGAGCTAATGTTTAGGTCAGCTGATTAGGATGAGGATAATTAATGCTTAGGTCAGCTGATTAGGATGAGGATAATCTTATATCTACATCAGCTGATTAAGATGAGGCTAATCTAATGTTTAGGTAACCTGATCAACCTTAATTCTATCTGGAACATTAATTCCCCCTTGCCATGTAACCTAAGATACTCACAGGTTTCAGGGATTAGGGCATGGACATCTTGGAAGGTGGGAGCAGTATTCTGCCTGCCAAAGGTACAAACTTTGAAAATCACATCACAGGAGAGAATGTACTTAAACACAGAAAACTGCTCAGAAAAGGCATTTTCTTTTTCTTTTTTTTTTTTTTTTTGAGACGGAGTCTTGCCCTGTCACCCAGGCTAGAGTTCAGTGGCGCGATCTCGGCTCACTGCAACCTTCACCTCCTGGGTTCAAACAATTCTCCCACCCCAGCCTCCTGAATAGCTGGGGTTACAGGCACATACCACCATGCCCAGCTAATTTTTGTATTTTTAGTAGAGACAGGGTTTCACCATGCTGGCCAGGCTGGTCTCGAACTCCCGGCCTCAAGTTATCTGCCTGCCTTGGCCTCCCAAAGTGCTGGGATTACAGGCGTGAGCCACCGTGCCTGGCAGAAAAGGCATTTTCAAAATGAGAAAGTTACTGAATAATAGCTTAATATCTACAAAACTAAAAAATATTAGTTACTGAATATTGCTTAATATCTACAAAAACAAGCATTATCCACTAACATTGCTTTACTTTTATGTTCCAAAATGTGTACCTCACACATATGACTCTTAGGTGGATCTTTCTAAATGCAAATCTAATGACCAAATCCTTCTTTAATAGCTTTCCAAGGCTCATCAGAGGACATGAGATAAAGTCCTAACTCCTTAGCACAGACTAAAAGCTTGTCACAGTCTGGACCCAGTCTACATTCCATCCACCTATCCACCACCACTCCTCCTTACCTACTCACTCCCTCATGCAGGTACTTACTGAGTGTCTAATATTGACAGTCAGTGATCTGTGCGCAGGTGGTGACTAAACATGACATAGTTCCTGCTGTATGAAGTCAGTAATCTACTGGTGGGCTTTAATCAACTAATGACACAAAACAAATGTACAACTGCAAACTGTGACAACTGCTCTAAAGAAGTATGGGTTGCACCTGTGGCAAAGAAATCTGACCAGGTCAGGAGAGTCTTGGAGAAGAGGAACCAATGGGAGTTCACTCTGACAGGAGGGCAGAAAAAGAGTTTTCCAAGCAAAGAAAGGACAGATGCATACATACTTGGGGGAAAGCAACATGGCAAGTATGCACTGCAGCTTGTGAACAACACTGTCCATTCTGCAAATTGCAACACTTCATGCTCAACAGAGTGTCCCCTCTCTCCTGAATGGGGGTTCTAATCACTCCACATCAGAGAGGTGGCACCACCGTGTCTCTCCAATAACTTACACTATACTGGATTATAACTGTGGATTTACATCTGCCTCCACAGTAAACCGTGAGCTCACCAAAGCCAAGTCCTGTGCTCATTCTTTTCTCTAACCCCAGAACTGGCAATGAACCAGCTGACTGAATTTAGCAATGATTGCCACAAGTCACACAGAAAACTTCCATTAACACTTCCCACTTGCTTCTCTCCCTAGCACACTCCCAAGGAAACAGAGGTAGCTCTAGTTGAGAAGACAAAAACAGATGCCTATTTTACACAAGAAAAATTGATAAAGGGATAAGCACTTGAATCAAGAGATCAGGAAAAGAACAAGACCCTTATTTAAAAAACGAATAAGATGTTTTATAAAACAATATAATAGAGTAAAATCAGTAGAACTGATAAATATTCAAGAGCTAGTTCTTTAGGAGAAAAAATCCATTAAGTTAAATAAAACACCAAGCTATCTTAACATAAACAAAGTGGGTGAAGTCACAAATTATCAAATTAGGAAGAAGACAGGGTAAATAACGACATTAAAAATATTTTTATATAATCCTACTCTAATACATAACAAAGTGATAGTATTCTAGAAAAAAACACAAATTTCCAAAATAAGAAAAATCACTTTAAGACACGACAATAGGGAAGAAATTTTAAAAACTGTCAGAGAATAAATGGGAGAGGGAAGACACATCTCCTTTATGGAAAAATTCGAAATAATTTATGTAGGTACTTTGCCCCCAAGGAGATAGAGCTTCATTTCCTATTCTTTGAGTGTCAGAAGTACTTAGAAACTTGCTTTCAAAGAGTAAAGTAGAAAAATTGTGGGTTGGAGGGTGAGAGGGAAACAGGGGACTAATTTTACAGTAGAGAAATCTGAAAAACCTCAGCCACAGAATCAAGGTTAACAATGACAGGCCATGCTAACTGTATATATCCTTGATATGATGTGGTAAGAATGATACCTCGTCTCTGTGGTTTTCCTCCCCCAAACCCATAATGCTTATCTTATCATGACAAAAAAATAATAAAAAAGAACACACTTGAATTAAGAGACATTCTTCATAACACCAGTGCAACTCAAACCCACTAAGGTCATCCAAAAGAAGGAAAGTCTGAGGAACTACCACATATCAGAAGAGATTAAGGCAATATGATGACTAAGTATAATGTGGTGTTCTGGATGGGTCTTGGAATACAAAACAAAATACTATAGAAAATTAGTGAAATCTGGGCTGGACATGGTGGCTTATATCTACAATCCTAGCACTTTGGGAGGCCAAGGCAGGAGGATCTCTTGAGGCCAGGAGTTCAATACCAGGCTGGGCAACATAGTGAGACCCTGTCTCTACAAAAAGTAAAATAAAATTAGCCAGGCATGGTGGTGTGTGCCTATAATCCCAGCCACTAAAGAGGCTGAGGTAATAGGATCACTTGAGCTCAGGAATTTGGGATTACAGTGAGTTATGATCATGCTGCACCTAAAGCCTGGATAACAGAGCAAGACTCTGTCTGTAAGAAAGAAAGGGAAGGGAAGGAAGAGAAGAAAGGAAAGGAAAGGGAAGGAAGAGAAAAAGGAAAGGAAAGGAAAGGAAAGGAAAGGAAAGGAAAGGAAAGGAAAGGAAAGGAAAGGAAAGGAAAGGAGGAAGGGAAAGGAAAGGAGGAAGGGAAAGGAAAGGAAAGGAGGAAGGGAAAAAGGAAGGGAAGGAGAATTGGAAGGGGGAAGGGAAGGGGAAAGGAAGGAGAAAGAAAAAAGAGAAAAGAGAAAGAGGAAGAAAGACAGAAAACTAGAGAAAACTGAATAAAGTATTGAATCCTTATTCATGGCAAATATACCACAGCTATGTAAGAACTTAACAATGGAGAAACTAGGTAAGAGCACACAGGAACTCACTGTACTACCTCTGCAACCTTTCTGTAAATCTAGAACTATACTAAAATAAAGTTATATAAAAATTTTTAATAGCAGTCCAAGGACTATAATCTCCTAAAAATGAGCCATAATCATATAGTTTCAGAGCTGAATTTTTAAAAGAAATTTCTGTGAAGGCAGGTAAGATTTCTATACTTTATTTAAACTGGTAAAATGATGAAACTAGTAGACTGTAACTTACATATTTCTAATATGATACAGAGAGGACAGTAACCACTAACAAATCTAAACAAAGAGAAATCCTCAAAAACGCTACAGACAAATAAAAATGAAATTCTAAAAAACGTTCATGTAATCTAAAGGAAAACAGGAAACAAAATGCAAAAGAGAAAAACAAAATAAAATAAAATGGCAGGCTTAATATGTAAAACATTAAAAATCAGATTAAATATAAAAGGTCTAAATATACACTGAAAAGACAGGTTTGTGGAATAGATTAAGAAAATAAATGACCCAACTACATGTTGTATACAAGAAACTCACTTAAAATATAATAAAGGTAGAGTGAACATGCAACAGGAGATACCATGCAAACATTAATTAAAAGAAAGCAGGTCTGGCTATACTGATATCAGAAAAAATAAACTTCAGAGGGAGGAAATTAACAGGAACATAAAGAAACACTACATAATGATAAAATAATAAAATTATCATTTTGATTCCATTCACCAAGAAGACATAACAATTCTAAATATGTATGAAACAAGCAACAAAGGTGTAAAACACTGAAGTACAAACTGGGAGAGAGACAAGACAGGAGAAACAAATAACTCCACAATTATAGTTGAAGACTCCAACACTCCTCTCTCCTCAGTTGACAGGATAACCTGAAAGAAAATCGGCAAAGATACAGAAGAACTCAACAGCATCATCAAGCAACAGGATCTAACCAACTTTTATACTATACCCCAATGAATAATAGAATACACATTTTTTTTCAGGCATCCATAAACATAGATGCCTGAAATAGAATACACTTTTTTTTTCAGGCATCCATAGAACATAAAGATAAAACAAATCATACAAATTGAGATATGCATACACATTGTACCAGTGCAGATTTTCTGGTATAGATATTGTACTATAGTTTATAAAATATAACCACTGGAAGAGGCTGGGTGAAGTACAGGGGACTTCTCTGTCCTATCTCTGCAACTTCTTGTGAAAGTATAAGTATTTCAAAATAAAAAATTTAAGAAAGCGTTAACAGATAATACAACTACAGACCAATTTCATTTACAAATATATTTTTAAAATCCTTTAATATGTGCCTGTTAAATCCAGCACTACATTAAAAATAATACTTCCCTATACCATAACTATTCAATAGATGCATATTGAGTGGCCACCTAAGACTACTGTGTGCCAGATGATAGATGAGGCTAAAGAGACAGCAACAGCCATTTATTCCCATGGGACTACTTTAGATGAAATAGAGAAGAAAGGCCTCTATGAAAATGGAAGGTTCAGAAACAGCTATGTAAAGAGACAGGAGAAAAACATGCTGAGGAGAGGTAATAGTAAAAGCAAAGGTCCTCAGGTAGGAAAAAAGTAGGCCTCTGCATAGCCTATTTAGTAAACTAAGAGGTCAATGTGGTAAAAGCATAATCAGGAAGGGAAAGAGAGAGATGACACGAGGCGAGAGAGGCAACCATGGCCAGATCATGGAGGGTGTTGCAAGAGTGGGACTTTATGATACATGTAATTGGAAGTCACTAAAAATAAAAGTATACTGATGTGAGTTTCTTATGTAAGACATGAAGTGGTATAAAGTACATTCCTGTATTATTTGAGAATATGTAGTTCTGATATAGATGAAAAAACAGAATGTAGGAAGCTTATGTGACACATATAGAGCACATGTGTGTTAAACAGAATTAGAAATGAATGAAAGGACCAAAAGATACATAACATTCATGAGTCATTAAACATACATGAAATATCTGGGCCCTACATATTCATAATACACCAAACATACAGGAAGCACCTAACAGGCAGCATATATGAAGTTTTAATGAAGATGCTTATTGATGACATCTATTCAGGCCCTGTGTGTTCTTTGCCTAAGAAACACCAATAAAATTCATGGATGTTCAGCAAGTTCACTGTCAAGCTACAGCCAGGGCCAACTCTACATGTTTCTGTGCCTGTCTTATACAGTAAATATGTGTTTTGGACCCAGGATACCTTCTACCCGTGGACTTTCTTTCTCAAATTTCAGCTCTGAAGAAGGCTGATGCAGCAGAGAGGGGATAAATATAAACACATTATTCCCCAGGATGTATCCAACATGTACTTCACCCTGTTTGCACCATACATAAAATGTGCTCACTTGCTTCTCACTGTGCATACTTAATTGATTTAATAAATCATGTGATGTGAGCTGTTAAAATTTGATCTGTGATCCTTTATGTTCAATGATCTCTCAGCTACTTTGTCCAGTAGTCTATTTGGAGGTGACTATTACATCAACATAATTACTTATATGACACTAAGTAGACTTGATACATTAAAGGTGCACATATATCATAAACTATACCAACCATTAAAAAAAATACTTAACTGAGCCAAAAGAAAGCAGAAAAAGACATAAAGAAAAACAACAGAAGGTACAATAGAAAACTAGTAGTAAGATTTAAATATAATAATATCAAAAATTGTATTAAATAATAATGTTCTAAACCCCTTTAAAAGACTAATATTATTAGATTGAAAAAAAGGCAAGGCCCAACTACATCTATCTTCAAGAAAACAATTTTGAATATAAAGGCATAAATAGGTTAAGAGTTAAGGAATGGAAAAGAATATGTCTCACACTAACCAAAAAAAGCTGCAGTGGTGATATTAATATCACATAAAATAAATTTCAGGACAAGGAGTACTACCCAGGGATAAAAAGGGTCATCTCATAATGATAAAGAGGTCGATTCATCAAGATGACATAAAATCCTAAATTTAATTTTTACATGGAATAACAGAGCTTCAAAACAGAAAACAAAACTGATCCAAAAGGGGAAATAGTCAAAACCACACTTACAATACGAGAGTCTGTAGACCCTGTCACCCCTCTCTCAATGAGTGACAGAAAAGTAGACAGAAAACCAGGTAAAGATAAAGATGACTTGAACAACAATGACAACCTATTTATCTAATTGACATTCATAGAACATTCCAACGGCAGCAAAATACACATTCTTTACATATATAAAAGGAATATTTATGAAAATAGACCATATACTCAACCATAAAACAAGTCTGAAGAAATTGTATAAGATGCAAATAATGCAAACTATGTTCTCTAACTACAGTGTAATTAAAATCAATAAAAAATATATCTGACAGTCCCCCAAATACTGGGAAACTAAGTAACACTTCTAAATAATCCATGAACCAAAGATAAAATCACAAGGAAAATTTGAAATTATGTTGAACTAAGTGAAACTGAAGAGACAACACATCAAAATTTGTGAGACGAAACTAAGGCAGTGCTTAGGGGGACATTTTAGCACTAAATGTTTATATTTGAAAAAACAGAGAAGTCTCAAGCCAATCAACTAAGCTTCTACATTAAAAGGAAAAGTCAGAATAAGAGCAAAAAATGAAACCCAAAGGAAACAAAAGGACAAAACGAAGAGTTAAAATTAATGAAATCGAAAATTAAAAAAAAGAAAGCAATAAAACCAAAGGCAAATGACAAGATTTCATTCTTTTTATAGCTGAATAGTAATCCACTGCATATACATGCCACATTTGCTTTATCCATTTATCTATTTAGGTTGACTGCATATCTTGGTTATTGTGAACGGGGTTGCAATAAACAAAGGAATGCAGGTATCCCTTCAATATACTGATTTCTTTTCCTTTGGATAAATCCCAGAAGTGGGATTCCTGGATCATATAGTAGTTCTATTTTTAGTTCTTAAAGAAATCTTCATACCATTTTCTATAATGGCTGTACTAATTTGTACCCCCATTAACAGTGTATAAGAATTCCCTTTTCTCTGTATCCTTGTCAGCACTTGTTATTTTTTGTCATTTTGATAATAGCCATTCTAATAGAAGTAAGATTCTCATCACGATTTTGATTTGCATTTCCCCAGTGATTAGTGATGTGGAGCACTTTTCATAAACTTGGCCATCTGTATATCTTCTTTTGAGAAATGTCTATTCAGAGCCTTTGCCCATTTTTTAACTGGATTATTTGTTTTCTTGCTGTTAAATTGAGTTCCTCGTACATTCTGGACATTAGTCCCTTGTTGGATGAATAGTTTGCAAATATTTTCTCCCATTTTACAGGTTGTCTCTTCGTCCTGTTTATTGTTTCTTTTGCTGTGCAGAAGCTTTTTTAATTTGATACATATAGTCCCATTTGTCTACTTTTGCTTTTGTAGTTGTACTCATAAAATCTTTGCCTAGATCAATGTCCTGAAGCATTTCTCTTAGGTTTTCTTCTGGTAGTTTTACATTTTGAGGTCTTACATTTAAGTCTTTAATCCATTTTGAGTTAATTTTTGGATATGGTGAGAGAGAGGGGTCTCAAGCCACCATAGTGATGGATTAAATCAATAAACACTGTTGCAACATTAGCTTGATGATAGTGAAAAGGAGATGTAGGGGAAGGGATAAGGTGTATTTGTATTCATTCCTTACAACAAAATTATTTTGGAGCAAAGATTTGCAACTTAATTATGAAGCCACAAATGTATAAAAGAATATTTTATAACCTTTTGAAGGAGAAGTCCTTCCTAAGCATGCTAGGAAACACATAAGCTTTGAGCAAAAACAATGATAAATTTGACTCTCATAATGAAAAGTAAACAAGTCAAAATACAAACAATTGACAATTTAAAGGACTGACAATATTCAATTGTGCTAAGGGTGTGGCAAAGCAGGTGTTACTGTATACCACTGCTATAAAGGTATCACCCTTTGAAGTGTAACATTAAAATATAAAGGACATATATACTTCAGTGTAACAATTCAACTTGCAAGAATTTATCCTATAGAAACTCACATAGGTAGACAAAGGTATGACAAAGATATCCTGTTCATTTTTTCCACATATTATAAAGTTGGGGAGAAATTTGAGCATCCATCAGTGGAGACTGGCTAAACAAATTCTACTAAATACAATAAATATTACATGGTCATTAAATAGAATAAAAAATACCCATGGGCATACACATGGGCATAGGCATGCCTGCATGCACACTTAGGAACATGCACACTCTACCACTGCTGCTATGGACATTATAAAGACAGATACAAACTAATATTCAATACGGTCCCATTTTTGACAAAAGACATACAACACATGCATGAAAAATAATGAGGAGAACATCCGCTAGCTATAAGTCATGAAATTATGAGAGACCACCACATGCTATGTTAGACATTTCTGTGTTGTTTAAACCCTTTACAAGTGTGTATTGTTTTTGCTACAAAACAAAGATAAACCTAAAATTTCTATGTAATAACTTGCCCCTATTGACTTTGTATCAGTCTTTTTTCCAATTTGGTATCTCTAATAAATCCAAAATGCAATTTCACCCGGTAGAACTATTTTACAAGCTCTATTTTTCCCATAAATCTGTAAACTGATTTAGTACATCAGATTTCCTGGCTCAGTCTGAAAATCCTTTGCAGCTCTGGGTAAGCACATAAATTCTTCTTTTTCTTGCTCATCCAAAAAAACAAATGCAAAGAGCATCAAAAGCAAATGCTAATAAATGTTTGCTGCTTTATTTAATCAAAACTAGTAACTCTTTGCTGACATTTCTACTTTCTCAAAAAGTGGGTAATCTCAGTTGTTTCTGTTCATGAATAAACTTTATAGGGTCCTGTGTTACTGAGTAATTTCGAGAAAAAGTAACATTCATTGGTTTCATATTGAGAATGAGTAATCACTGATTTCACAGTAGGCTTTTCCAGTAATTCTTTGCATTTACAATCAGTCATTTTACTTTGTTCCATCTATCAAAGAACTCCAAATACAAATGTTTTGGGAGTAGTGTGATGGAGCAATGCCTGATCACAGTAAGCCTTTTATTTTTCAACACAAGCCTGAAACCAAAGTTGGCCAATGTAACTGACAGTTAGGTTATCCAGAGTTAGGGAAGAAGTTCAGTGGTATCACTTGCCATGGCCAGAATTCAGGGGAGCCACATCCACTGCCTTTTGTGAATTCATCACACTGAAGAACACTGGCCCTTCCTACTATTTCATTTTCCAGTTCCTGAATCAATTAGAAGTAAAAACAAAAACTATAAAAGCTTCTAATCTTGGGAAGTACACTGTTCAACATCTTATCACTTAGCTACTTCTCTCCTGTGTTTTTTAACTAGACTGTCCTTTAGAGAGAAGGAAGAATGTGTATGTACTATTTCCTCAAAGTGAGCAGAACATAGAGCAGAACTAGTAACAAGAATGATGATAAAACTCAAGATGCTACTGGCTTGGGAGAAGTTACATGTAACACATTCTTAATATGTAACCTGTACCTGGCCACAGATATACTAAGCTCTATTTTAGCTTTTTTTTTCATTGGGTACAATATATGGTTTTTAACTCAATAAAATTTCTCTTTATTTGGCTGATTATGCAGAAATTAGTTATGCTTTATTTAACCCACATTTACTAATATGTTTATTATACTTAGTTCAGCCCATTTATTCAGGTAACGTGGAGCTGATCAGAATAAAGTTATTGTTCAGTTGTCACATGAGCAACTTCACTTCATTCAATCCAGTATCAATAGATTGTACCCGAGCCCAAGAAAGTTATTTTGCAAACATGTATTTATGACAGAAGCCACCAAGAAGGGATTTATACAAATCCATTTTCATTCCCAAAAGAAACACCTCACATGTACTTTAATGGTGGTATATGTTAGCAGCGTATAAAGTCATCTTTGTATACAACAAAAAATTGTTATATGGCTCCATTCTTCAATCGGTAAAAGCCCTGAATGGGTATAGATGTAGATTTATCGCCTGCATTCAACAGGTGTTAACTGTATAAATTTAAAAGTATCTTCCTAAGTCAAGCATTTTGAAATTTTAATCATATCTTGTTCTCTGTCCAGGTGCAGTGGCTTACATCTGTAATCCCAACACTTTGGAAGGCCAAGGTGGGAAGTCAGCTTGAGGTCAGGAATTTTAGACCAGCCTGGTGAACATAGCAAGACCCCATCACTACAAACACTACGAAAAAATTAGCCAGGCACAGTGGCACACCCCTGCAGACACAGCTACTTGGGAAGCTGAGGCAGGAGGATCACTTGAGCCCAGGAGTTTGAGGCTGCAATAAGCTATCATCGTGCCACTGCATTCCAGCCTGGGTGACAGAGTGAGACCTCATCTCAAAAAGAAAAAAAAAAAAGTAAAGACAATACAATTCAAATAATTTTATTTTTTTTTTTTTGGAAACAGAGTCTTGCTCTGTCACCCAGGCTGGAATGCAGTGGCGTGATCTCAGCTCACTGCAACCTCTGCCCCCTGGGTTCAAGCAATTGTCTGCCTCAGCCTCCCCAGTAGTTGGGATTACAGGCACACACCACCACGCCTGGCTAATTTCTTTTTATTTTTTGTAGAGATGGGGTTTTGCCTGTCGGCCAGACTGGTCTTGAACTCTTGACCTCAAGTGACCCACCTGCCTCAGCCTCCCAAAGTGCTGGAATTACACTTTGCCCAGCCAATATATACATTTTTTAAATCTTATTTTATATTTTATTATAGAAATTTTCACCCATGTGCATAGCAAAATTTTGTTCATGGTATATTTAACATAAGCATGTAGATTCTTAAAATAAGGAACTTCTCTTTTTAACGTACTCTAAGAACCAATACATATTTGTTGAGTTACAAGTAGAGTGGAGCAAATTTTATAAGCCTGATGGATGCATAGGATTGAAAACATTCCTTAAATGTAATGTGACTGTCTGTCTATATGACATTGGTGTCTCAGTGATTAAATACTTTAGGCCTCAAGGGTCCATAAAGAGACTCTTTTCTAAAAATACAGTTGACTTGAAAGATTTACTGAAGCTTGCTTCAACTGCTATCCTTGAGAACTGTTAAAACAATATAATTGTCAAACTAGTGTATTGCTAATCCAATTTTTATTGTTAACATTTGCCACTGAAATTGCTCTTTAATTGTTTATTTTGGAATAGACACATAAAATATCATGACAGCAATATTTTGGCACATATTGGAAAATCTGCCATGAATATTTTTTTCCAATAAAACAGAGGTTACCTATATTACTTGGCATTAAAATGATTTACTGAAGTAGGCCAAAACATAAACCACGGAAATAAAATGAAGAAAGATTAGAGTTATAGCAAACTCCAAAGGCTGATACATCCAAATTCACACTTAAGGCACATTTCAAAGCAACTTATACTCTTTTGAAAAAGTAGAGAGAAAAAATAAGTCCTCCATCCTGTGCATCCAGCAATTCTGCACTCAAAAGCCAAGACAATGGACTCTTCTGATGGCTCACATTTTTCAGGAACCCGCATTTATTAAACAAGCGCAGACTGCCTTAGTGCGGTACACCGTGAAGACTGTACGTACTATAATACAAATGCATTCAGCTTAATCCAGCGTATGCTGCCTGAGCTCCACTCCCTGTCCATCACAGCTGCCTTGTGCTGCCAATGAAAATGCAGAGGTCTCACCCAGGGGGCTCTGCTTGGGGAACAGCACCCAGCTCCCACAACAGCAATTTTTTGTAAGCCATCAGCTGCCTGGCTTTCTCCACTGTTTGGCCTGCCAAACACCAGGAAACTTGAAGCTAGAGCTCAGGATTAAAAACATTCTGCCCACTCTCTGCCCTGAATGTGATGTTAGAACTCCTGGGACATCGGATCGAACATCTGAGACGTGTTCTGTATCTTATGTTGCCAGCCCCACAGTCCCTTTGACTGATCTCAAAAACCTCATTGGTGAAAACTTGCAGAAACTCCCAGAATCGAGTTTCCACCCTTTCAATCTTCTAGTGACTGAAGGAGCATGGACACTCAAGTTTCCAGTACATGCCCATGACCCAAGCCTGACTCTTGCTGAGTCCCAAACCTGTAGCCAATCAGCCTGCCTCCTCATTGCACATGCCTCCTAAAGCACAGGCGTTCTAGACTTTTTTTGTTTCAAGTAGAGGATACTGTCTGATTTTAAAGAGCATAAATTATTTGCAAAGCCAAACAAATAAGAAATAACCACAGTATAAAGCCCTATAGGATTTCATCCCAAACTACCCTTTACCCTCATTTCCTACCATTTCTCCATGGTCCAGGCTCCCTGTACTTGGGCACATCTAAGGACAGTCAGCCCTGCCTATCCATGGGTTCCACATCTGTGCATCTGACCAACCAAAGATCAAAAATATTCAGAAAAAAAAATAAAAATAACAATACAAGAAAAAGTAACACACATTTTAAAATACAGTGTAACAACTATTTCCACAGCATTTACATTGCATTAGGTATTATAGGAAATCCAGAGATGATTTAAAGTATACAGAAGGATGTGCAAAGGACTTGAGGATCTGTAGATTTTAGTATGAGGGTGGTTTCTAGAATCAATCCCACGAGGATACTAGAGCCAAGTATACTTAGCATTGAGTACACTGACCTAGCCTTCCCCTTCCCCAAGCTGAACTCCCTCCTCCTTCCCTCAAAATACCTCCTCCTCTTCCCCCAAAGCCCTGTTCAAAGGTTACTCCTTCTGTGAGATTCTCCCACTTTTCCCAGAGTTGGTCACTCCCTTCCCCGGGGTCCACAGCTTTCCAGACCTACCTTCGTAACAGCTCCTATAATGCTCCTACCTGATCATGTGTGTACACATCACTCTCTCCCTGCAACGTGAACTTAGAGGGCCTACCCATTAGTCCTCCAGACAGGAAGTAGCACTGTGCCTCCTCAGTAGGTAGTGACAACTGGAGATAATTTTTATTTTTTCTCCAAAATAATACAAATTAATTTCAATTGGTTTTTTATTTAACCAGTTTGAATCCATACTTGGGGCTCGTGGTTTGCCATACAACTCCAGAAATGTCTGTTCTTCCTAAGATTTCCACTTCACTATTTTATATAGATAAGATCTCAAATTCAGAATTGTAGTCCCTCCACTTCATTTGCCTGCATAACTACAGGAAAAAAACAGAGAAGCTGCCTGCAATTCCTGCCCATCAGAAAAGACAGGCTCACTTTCTTAATGGAAGACATCTAGGAGAGGAGCACATCATAGAAGAAACTCTAGAAAGGAAGAAGGAAGTTACAAAGCTCATAAGCAGGTTTTAAGTACATCAGACAGAAGCTGGAAAACAGGGATGGGCTAAAAGTAAAGAAAAAAGTCATCAGGAGGTCACAGTAGACTACCAGCTAAATGAATCAAATGATGTTTCGCTATTTTCTTAATGGGTAGCCAGAAGGCATAAGTAGCAGCCGAGCATGCAGGGCCCCACACAATCTTCTCATTATGCCTTGTTCTGATCAAATCACTGCAAAGAAGCTGCCATATATATGCTAGACACCACCAAGGCCCTCAAACTTAGAAACCAAACCAAATTGAAATATATACTGCTTCCTTGAAACCTGAAATCTATCAGCTCTAAGATGCACCATTATTTTATCAAGCACTAAGAAAGAAAAATGCTGCCAATTAAACTATGACACGGTTTCTTATTACTTAGAATTTTTATCTTCTTTTTATTGAAAGAGCTCTTTTAGACTTATTCAGACATAGATTTTTATAATATATCACTTTTAGGCATTTGTAAAAAGAAAAATAAAACTGAAATAAATTGGTTAAGGCAATGACAACCAGGTCAACTGGCTGAAAGCAATGGTAAAACACCATTGATTTGGAAAGTATATCTCAGTTTCAGAAATGTTAAAATCTGAAAAAAAAAAAATGTGCATCATAGAATCAAGAAAACACTGTATTATATCTAGCTTGGTGACAACAATTTTAAAAGGATAAGTAATAGTTCACAGGATAACTGCTACAAAGATATTTCATCGATTGAAAAATGTATTTCTACACAGAAAAAAGTTGAGATTATTCAACTCAAAAAAGACAAAAGTAGAATAGGAATTTAATAATGTTCTTCAAGGACATCAAACTCCTGCCTCATAAAGCAGTGATTTCCAACACTTTTCTTCTTTACTTTTTAGCAGCAAGATCTCTTTTTCAGATAATGTCCTATAAGAAATCTGAGCATGGAACTGTTCTGGTTAGAAAAAGAGCACCATCCCTGACATGCCTGCAAGGCCATAGGGCTCAGGACTGGCTAAAATGGTGATCTGGAGGGTAGATGTCACCTTCTACCCATTCCCTATGACAGCTATACCACAATGACAAGGGTTCAAATTGTGGCATTAATCAATTATTTAAAAATGGTTTGTAAAATACAAAACACTTGTTGGGTGCTCAGTATACAGAGATTAATCAAGTATGAAGGTGTTCTGGTAACCTACCAAAAGGAATTTTTTATGTTGAGATTTTAGACCTTGAGATGATTGCCGAAGATAAGGTAAGAACTTTCTGTCAGCCACAAAAGGAGTTATATTCATCTAACGGGTTAGAAGCCCTCCTTGCCACAGCAAAAGGATGAATCATGTAGACCCACTAAGGCCCATTCTAGCTCTAGGATGTCTATAAAATGAGTCTCTTTCCAAATGCATTCAAATGTAGCTGAGTTTGGACAGCTTTGGCTCTTGCCCCATACCCAACCATGTGGCCAAACTCAACAGTTTGCTAGACCACTGTCCTCCAAAACAAATTCAACTCCATAACAAATTGGCAAATAATGTGTATCTGACTGAAGATGGAAAGATACACATATCCATATCACTGGTGAAACTTTAACATCTCCGTTAGAGAGCTCTTGATCATTTCTTCATCTGCCTCTTCTCTATCCTTTCTCTAAAATCCCTTCTTACAATTCTAAGCAACTCAGTCCAGGCTCTAACCTTACATGTTCCACTCATCAAGGCAGCTGTCATCTTGTCACCTGAACATGCTTTGGGAATAGTACCCATTCCCATCTCTACTCCCCATGCAATGCAAATAACTCAGCAAATCCACTCAGCTCTCCTGAAAATCTGCAGCTAAGAAAAATAAAGTTTTCACCATATGGACATGACAGCACACAAACGATTTATAGAATAATATTTTAAGATGATTAAGGAAAGTTGATTTCCCATGTGTAGGGTTATCAGACTATCACAACTAATGCTCCCCTACTGATGACCAAGGTAAGTTAGGCTGATCTGGCTGGGGAAGTGCCCCCTCTGTTGTGCCTTGTGCTGTTACTGAGCTAGGGAGGTAAAGTACTTAGGAAAAGAGAATAACATACCCAGGCACAAGAGAACCTTTCTTTGGCAATGGGCACTTGCTTGCAAGCACCAACTCAATTTTCAGCCTAATTCATAGATCTGTATTTGGTATAATTAGGGATTTATCAGAGACAAAGAAAGTTGACCCCGCATCCCATTTTATTCTCTACACACAGGAAACACAGAGGAAAGATTTTCTTTAACAGATGGTTTTAAATTAAATTGTATTCTGTGAACAGAAAAATGGTGTATGGAAGCTAAGCTATTCTAGGTTCTGAAGAAGACAACTTTCTGACCACAGGCATAAAACTGCTGATCTGGTACCCAGTAACTGCAAAGTCAGAGGGCTTCATACTGAGCACCAGAAAATTCATACTGAAGTGTAGCAATAATCATTCTTCCCTCTCTATACAAACCAACCTCAGATAAAGTAATCTATGTTAGAAAATATATATTGTGTAATACAACAGAGCTAAAATTTAAAAGATTTGTGGAAAGAAGGCAGTCATTAGCCAGTAGCCCTACATTAATTTCAGAGCTTGACATTCCTTTACAGATAAGAAAGCTGAAGTCCAAGGAGGTTAAGTGTGATGATGATGGACGTACAATCCTTCAGGGCAGAGGCAGGGTTAGCAACACAGTCCTACAACATGGTTAAAATCTTTACAATTTCAAAATTTCATTTGAATTTCAAATGCACATTTCCGTTCTTACCAGAGTTACTTCAAAAATGAGTGGGATCAGTTTGCTTTCTTCCACAAGTCTGTTAAAAACAAGAAAAAAAGATAAGTGCACATTAGACAATTCATATTTGCACTGATGGCCTGATATAAAGCACCTCAGCCCCCATGTTTTATTGCTAAAATTCCATGATAAGAAATAGTATGATTAAACATTCTTTTTAAGACACTGAACTATAGCTATTAAACAAGAAATATGAGGCTTTTTTGCAAGTGACTACTAGCTTAGCCTTATTGATGTGTAGCAAGTGAAATCTCAAATAGATTGGTATTTTTAATGCAGGGATTAAAATTCACAATTATTATAAAGACTATCAAAATAGGTAATATCAGCTGAAATAATGTAACCAACCCTCTCTGCACTGTTAAATCATAAAATGACACACTGTAATTTTTTATATATGCCTCATTAGCTGTATTCTCAGCATTAAGAAATTAATGTATGACGAATTTTAATGATCTTTAATTTTTAAAAAATTAGACACCAGTCACCTGGTAGACACTAGGCACTTTCCCTCATCAAATCTAGTTATCAATTGTCATCAATTGTAATAGAAGAATTTTTTCATAAAAGAGAAAACAGCCTTGGTAAAACCTAAATCATTCAAAAGTCACAGTTTTGATTAAGAACAATATTTGTGACATCCAGGGAGGAGCCAAGATGGCCGAATAGAAACAGCTCTGGTCTGCAGCTCCCAGCAAGACCAACACAGAAGGCAGGTATTTCTGCATTTCCAACTGAGGTACCCAGTTCATCTCACTGGGACTGATTAGGCATTGGGTCCAACCCACAGAGGGATAGC
Organism: Homo sapiens; assembly: GCF_000001405.40. Lineage (NCBI taxonomy): Eukaryota > Metazoa > Chordata > Mammalia > Primates > Hominidae > Homo > Homo sapiens. The sequence goes on from NC_000003.12 coordinate 41,616,498, forward strand.
AGAAGCAGGGTGGGGCGTCGTCTCACCAGGGAAGTGCAAGGGGCTGGGGACCTCCCTCCCCCAAGCCAAGGAAAGCTGTGAGGAACTGTGCTACCCGGCCTGGTTACTACGCTTTTCCCACGGTTTTTTCAATCTGCAGATCAGGAGATTCCCTCGTGTGCCTATGCCACCAAGGTCCTGGGTTTCAAGCACAAAACTGGGAGGCTGTTTGGGCATTCACCAAGCTAGCAGTAGCGGCAGGAGTGTTTTTTCATACCCGGCAGCACCTGGAACCCCATCTAGACAGAACCGTTCACTCCCCAGGGAAGGGGGCTGAAGCCAGGGAGTCAAGTGGTCTTGCTCCATGGGTCCCACTCCCACGGAGCCCAGCAAGCTAAGAACCATTGGCTTGAAATTCTCACTGCCAGCACAGCAGTCTGAAATTGACCTGGGATGATCTAGCATGGTAGCGGAGGGGAATCTGCCATTACTGAGACTTTAGTAGGTGGTTTTTCCCTGACAGTGCTAAGAAGCCTGGGCAGGGCAAAGCAGCTGTGGCCAGACTGCTTCTCTAGATTCCTCCTCACTGGGCAGGGCATCTCTGAGGAAAGGTAGCAGCCCAAGTCAGGGGCTTACAGACAAAACCCCAATCTCCCTGGGACAGACCACCTGGGGGAAGGGGCAGCTGTGGGTACAGATTCAGCAGATTTCATTGTTCCTGCCTGCCAGCTCTGAAGAGAACAGCTGATGCTCTTGACAAGACGGATTCTCCCAGCACAGAGCACCAGCTCTGCTAAGGGACAGGCTGCCTCCTCAAGTGGGTCCCTGACCCCAAGCCTCCTGACTGGGAGAAACCTCCCAACAGGGGTCGACAGACACCTCATACAGGAGAGCTCTGGCTGGCATCAGGCCGGTGCCCCTCTGGGACAAAGCTTCCTGAGGAATAAGCAGGCAGCAATCTTTGCTGTTCTGCAGCCTCCACTGGTGATACTCAGGCAAACAGGGTCTGGAATGGACCTCCAGCAAACTGCAGTAGACCTGCAGAAGAGGGGCCTGACTGTTTGAAGAAAAACTAACAAACAGAAAACAACAACATCAACATCAACATAAAAAACCCCCACACAAAAACCCCATCCAAAGGTCATCAGCCTCAAAGATCAAAGGCAGATAAATCCATGAAGATGAGGGAAAGTCAGCACAAAAATGCTGAAAATTTCAAAATCCAGAATGCCTCTTCTCCTCCAAATGATTGCAACTCCTCTCCAGCAAGGGCACAAAACTGGATGGGGAATAAGTTTTACAAATTAACAGAAGTAGGCTTCAGAAGGCGGGTGATAACAAACTCCTCTGAACTAAAGCAGCATGTTCTAACCCAATGCAAGGAAGTTAAGAACCTTAATAAAAGGTTACAGGAACTGCTTACTAGAATAAGCAGTTTACAGAGAAACATAAATGACCTGATGGAGCTGAAAAACATAGCACGAGAACTTTGAGAAGCATACACAACTATCAATAGCTGAATAGATCAAGTGGAAGAAAGTATATCAGAGATGGAAGATCAATTTACTGAAATAAGGCATGAAGAAAAGATTAGAGAAAAAAGAAGGAAAAGGAACGAACAAAGCCTCCAAGAAATATGGGACTATGTGAAAAGACCAAACCTATGATTGACTGGTATACCTGAAAGTGATAGGGAGAATGGAACAAAGTTAAAAAACATATTTCAGGATATTATCCAGGAGAACTTCCCCACCATAGCAAGATAGGCCAACATTCAAATTCAGGAACTACAGAGAACACAACTAAGATACTCCTCAAGAAGAACAACTCCAAGAAACATAATCGTCAGATTCTCCAAGGTTGAAATGAAGGAAAAAATGTTAAAGGCAGCCAGAGAGAAAGGTCAGGTTACCAACAAAGAGAAGCCCATCAGACTAACAGCAGATCTCTCTGCAGAAATACTATAAGCCACAAGAGCGTGGGGGCCAACATTCAACATTCTTAAAGAAAAGAATTTTCAACCCAGAATTTCATATGCAGCCAAACTAAGCTCCATAAGTGAAGGAGAAATAAAATCCTTTCCAGATGAGCAAATGCTGAGGGATTTTGTCACTACCAGGCCTGCTTTACAGGAGCTCCTGAAGGAAGCACTAAATATGGAAAGGAAAAACTGGTACCATCCACTGCAAAAACACACCAAAATATAAAGACCAATGACACTATGAAGAAATTGCATCAACTAATATGCAAAATAACCAGCTAGCATCATGATGACAGGATCAAATTCACACGGAACAATATTAACCTTAAATGTAAAAGGGTTCAATGCCCCAATTAAAAAACACTGACTGGCAAATTAGATAAAGAGTCAAGACCCATTGGGGTGCTGTATTCAGGAGACCCATCTCACATGCAAAGACAAACATGGCCTCAAAATAAAGGGATGGAGGAATATTTACCAAGCAAATGAAAAGAAAAAAAAAAGCAGGGGTTGCAATCCTAGTCTCTAGGATTTAAAATAGACTTTAAACCAACAAAGATCAAAAAAGACAAAGAAGGGCATTACATAATGGTAAAGGGATCAATGCAACAAGAAGAGCTACCTGTGCTAAATATATATGCACCCAATACAGGAGGACCCAGATTCATAAAACAAGTTCTTAGAGACCTACAAAGAGAAGCAGACTCCCAATAATAATAGTGGGAGACTTTAACACCCCACTGTCAATATTAGACCAACGAGACAAAAAATTAACAAGGATATTCAGGACTTGAACTCAGCTCTGGACCAAGTGGACCTAATAGATACCTACAGAACTCTCCACCACAAATCAACAGACTATACATTCTTCTCAGTGCCACATAGCATGTATTTTAAAATTGACCACATAATTAGAAGTAAACACTCCTCAGCAAATGCAAAAGAATGGAAATCATAACAAACAGTATCTCAGACCACAGTGCAATCAAATTCAGGATTAAGAAATTCACTCAAAACCACATAACTACATGGAAACTGAACAACCTGCTCCTGAACGACTACTGGGTAAATAACGAAATGAAGGCAGAAATAAAGTTATTTGAGACCAATGAAAACAAAGACACAATGTACCAGAATCTCTGGGACACAGCTAAAGCAGTGCTTACAGGGAAATTTATAGCAGCAAATGCCCACAGGAAAAAAACGGGAAAGATCTAAAATCGACACCCTAACATCATAATTAAAAAAAACTAGAGAAGCATGAGCAAACAAATTCAAAAGCTAGGAGATGACAAGAAATAACTAAGATCAGAGCAGAACTGAAAGAGATGGAGACACGAAAAACCCTTCAAAATAATCAATTAATCCAGGAGCTGGTTTTTAGAAAAGATTAACAAAACAGATGGAACACTAGCTAGACTAATAAAAAGAGAGAAGAATCAAATAGACACAACAAAAAATGATACAAGGGACATCACCACTGATCTCACAGAAATACAAACTACCATCAGAGAATACTACAAAAACCTCTATGCAAATAAACTAGAAAATCTAGAAGAAATGGATAAATTCCTGCGCACATACACCCTCCCAAGACTAAACCATGAAGAACTCGAATCCCTGAATAGACCAATAAGAAGATCTGAAATTGAGGGAGTATTTAATAACCTACTGGCCAAAAAGAGCCCAGGACCAGACAAATTCACAGCCGAATTCTACCAGAGGTACAAAGAGGAGCTGGTACCATTCCTTCTGGAACCATTTCAAACAACAGAAAAAGGACTTCTCCCTAACTCATTTTATGAGGCTAGCATCATCCTGATACCAAAACCTGGCAGAGACACAACAAAAACAACAACAAAAAATTTCAGGTCAATATCCCTGATGAACATCAATGTGAAAATCCTCAATAAAATACTGGCAAACTGAACCCAGCAGCACATCAAAAAGCTTATCCACCACGATCAAGTTGGCTTCATCCCTGGGATGCAAGGCTGGTTCAACATACGCAAATCAATAAATGTAATCCATCATATAAAAATAACAAATGACAAAACCACATGATTATCTCAATAGATGCAGAAAAGGCCTTCAGTAAGATTCAACATCCCTTCATGCTAAAAACTCTCAATAAACTAGGTATTGATGGAACATATGTCAAAATAATAAGCGCTATGTATGACAAACCTATAGCCAATATAATATTGAATGGGTAAAAGCTGGAAGCATTCCCTTTGAAAACCGGCACAAGACAAGGATGCCCTCTCTCACCACTCCTATTCAACATAGTATTGGAAGTTCTGGCTGGGGCAATCAGGCAAGAGAAAGAAATAAAGGGTATTCAAATAGGAAGAGAGGAAGTCAAATTGTCTCTGTTTGCAGATGACATTTTTATATATTTAGAAAACCCCATCATCTCAGCCCAAAAGTTCCTTAAGCTGATAGCAACTTCAGCAAAGTCTCAGGATATAAAATTAATGTGCAAAAGTCACAAGCATTCCCATACACTAACAAAGACAAGCAGAGAGCCAAATCATGAATGAACTCTCATTCACAATTGCTACAAAGAGAATAAAATACTTAGAAATACAACTTACAAGGGATGTGAAGGACCTCTTCAAGGAGAACTACAAACCACTGCTCAAGAAAATAAGAGAGGACACAAACAAATGGAAAATCATTCCATGCTCATGGATAGGAAGAATCAATATCATGAAAATGGCCATACTGCCCAAAGTAACTTATAGATTCAATATTATTCCTATCAAGCTACCATTGACTTTCTTCATGGAATTAGAAAAAACCATTTTAAATGTCATATGGAACCAAAAAAGAGCCTGTAGAGCCAAGACAATCCTAAGCAAAAAGAACAAAGCTGGAGGCATCATGCTATCTGACTTCAAACTATACTAAAAGGCTTCAGTAACCAAAACAGCATGGTGCTGGTACCAAAACAGATATATAAACCAATGGAACAGAACAGAGACCTCAGAAATAACATCACCCATCTACAACCATCTGATCTTCAACAAACCTGACAAAAACAAAAATGGGGAAAGGATTCCCTATTTAATAAATGGTGCTTGGAAAACTGGTTAGCCACATGCAGAAAACTGAAACTGAACCCCTTCCTTACACTTTATACAAAAATTAACTCGAGATGGACTATATAGTTACATGTAAAACCCAAAACCATAAAAATCCTAGAAGAAAATCCAGGCAATACCATTCAGGACATAGGCATGGGCAAAGACTTAATGACTAAAACACCAAAAGCAATGGCAACAAAAGCCAAAATTGACAAATGGGATCTAATCAAACTAAAGAGCTCTGCAAAGCAAAAGAAACTACCATCAGAGTGAAAAGGCAACCAACAGAACGGGAGAAAATTTTTGCAATTTTTCTGTGTGACATAGGTCTAACAGCCAGAATCTACAAAGAACTTAAACAAATTTACAAGAAAAAAACAAACAACCCCAACAGAAAAGGCGAAGGGTATGAACAGACACTTCTCAAAAGAAGACATTTACGTGGCCAACAAACATATGAAAAAGAGCCATCATCACTGGTCCTTAGAGAAATGCAAATCAAAATCACAATGAGATACCATCTCAAGCCAGTTGGAATGGCAATTATTAAAAAGTCAGGAAACACCAGATACTGGCAAGGCTGTGGAGAAATAGGAACACTTTTACACTGTTGGTGGGAGTGTAAATTACTTCAACCATTGAGAAAGACAGTGTGGCAATTCCTCAAGGATCTAGAACCAGAAATACCATTTGACCCATTTGGGTATATACCCAAAGGATTGTATATCATTCTGCTATAAAGACACATGCACATATATGTTTACTGCAGCACTATTTACAATAGTAAAGACTTGAAACCAACCCAAATGCCCATCAATGATAGACTGGATAAAGAAAATGTGGCTCATATACACCATGGAATGCTATGCAGCCATGAAAAGTAGGAGTTTGTGTCCTTTGCAGGGACATGAAGCTGGAAACCATCATTCTCAGCAAACTAACACAGGAACAGAAAACTAAACGCTGCATGTTCTCACTCATAAATGGAAGTTAAACAATGAGAACACACACATGGACACAAGGAGGGGAACATCATACACCAGGGCCTGTCGGGGAGTGGAGGGAAAGGGGAGGGAGAACATTAGGACAAATACCTAATGCATGCAGAGCTTAAAACCGAGATGATGGGTTGATAGGTGTAGCAAACCACCATGGTACATGTATACCTATGTAACAAACTTGCATGTTCTGCACATGTACCCCCAAACTTAAAATTTAAAAAAGAACAATATTTGAATCTCTAAATACTCTTTTAGTCCAGGGTTCAGAAAAGATTTTTTCCGTAACAGTCCAAATAGCTAATAGCCCAAATATTTCAGGCTTTGCAGGCCACATTGTCTCTATAGCAACTACTCAACTCTGTCATCATAAAGTAAAAGCAGCCATAAAGAATATAGAAAGAAATAAACATGGGTGTGTTCCAATAAAACTTTATTTATAAACAACAGGCAGTGGGCCATGTTTAGGGGAAAGCTACAGTTTGCAGGTTACCGCTTCAGTCCAAAAAATAAAATAAAATCATATTCCTTTCTACTATTTTATTAGAATTTTGTATGATAAATTACAGAGCTTAAGACAAACATGTTACATATGTTGTAGGTATGTGTAGTTTGTCTATTTCACAGAAAACACCAGATATTTAATAGTATGATTAAATGCTCACGGATAGAAAGGGAATTTTAACATCTGGCCTCCCAGGAGCTTATTTGTCTATGATAACACACTGATAAAAGAAAAGCCTATGAGACTAACCAAAAAAGATCACAGTGTTTACATACACTTGTGAAGGGAAAATGAGATACAGAGATTTACCAAAGACTGAAGCACTTAGAAAGTCCACCTTGATGTCTAGCAAAAAAAAATGTGATTACTATTCATTGCAGCATTATCCATAATAGACAAGATACGGAAACAACCTAAATGACCATCACTGGGTGAATGAATAGAAAAAAATGCAGCATATGTACACAATGGAATACTCATCAGCCTTAAAGAAACAAGAAACTCTCATTTGTGACGATAAGGATGAATTATCCTAAGTGAAATAAGTCAAGCACAGAAAAACAAATACTACATGATTTCACTTATATGTAGACTCTAAAAAAGTCAAACTCAAGAGAAGTAGAGGGTAGAATGGTGGTTACCAGAGTGGGAAGGTGTGGACAAGAAAAGGAAAGATATAAATCAAAGGGTATAAAGTTAAGTTAGACAGGAGAAATAAGTTAGTTAATAATAATGTAGTATGTATTTCAAAATTATTACAAGAGTAGATTTTAAGTGTTCCCACCACAAAGAAATGATAGCACGTGAAGTGATGGACATGTTAATTAGTCTGATTTACTCACTCCACAAAGTATACACATATCATAACATTACACTCTATGCCACAAATACACAATTATAATTGTCAGTTAAAAATAATTTTAAATAAATAATGTTGATAAAGTTTAAAAATAAATAGATGTGATCACTTCTGTAGTTTCAATGAAAACAGTTTTGGTGACAAATGTTAAGTTCATTTATATTTTCTCTCTTTCCTGGGCAATTGAATGAAGGCTCAGACGTGAGGCTGAGGCTCCTTACATCATGCCTAGGTAGGACAGGAAACACGCAGACTCAAAACCACGAACAACTTCAGGTCCAGCACATTCACAGTCTTCTTCCTCAGTTTCCTTAAATTTGTCTTCTTAAGTTTTTATGATTTATACTATTATTAGGCCTGGGCTAAAATAACCAAGCACATACATCTCAGAGTTGCCCTGGCAACCGAGGCCAATGAAGTCAGAAGAACATAAATGCCACGACTTCTCCAATGGTACCTGGACGATCCAGAGCATCACTCACAACACCGGCCCTTTAACGGTAGTATTTTAAACTATATTCTACTAAGGCATAACCACACAAAACTATCTTAATTCCTTCTTAAGAACTGCAGCTAGTTCTTCTCCAGGTCTCTGCATGATGCGCACGCTGGCCTGGATTACCTCTTAAGTCTCTTTGACTATAAATGCTAACATTCCATTCTCACATTCTTCTGAATACAATATACCATAACAATTTTTGTTCTTTGATTTGACTAATTATGTAGCTCTAAACATAATTTAGAGCTACATAAATTATTCCTGGGTAAATAAAAAGAGAATTCAAGCTAAGTAATTTTTTTTAGTGGTAAGCCTAATAAGGACGATAATTCATCCTTATCGTCACAAATGAGAGTTTCTTGTTTCTTTAAGGCTGATGAGTATTCCATTGTGTACATATGCTGCGTTTTTTTCTATTCATTCATCCAGTGATGGTCATTTAGGTTGTTTCCGTATCTTGTCTATTATGGATAATGCTGCAATGAATAGTAATCACATTTTTTTTTGCTAGACATCAAGGTGGACTTTCTAAGTGCTTCAGTCTTTGGTAAATCTCTGTTAAAAAAAATTTCTGTATTGTTTTCTATGACTTATGAACTCACCTCAAATGTAATTTCAACTGACGGATGTTAAAGCAAGTAAGGAAGAAGGGTGGCTGCAAACATTTACAATTCTCTAAGGCAGAATTTTTCTAAATTGTGAGAGGTGATCAATAAGTGGACAATGAGATTAGTTTACTGGGTATTGACTAGCATGTTTTTAATTAAAAGAATAAAACAGAATATCCAAGGGTATCGCACATAGTATTGTTCTGTAATGTACTGAGTGGTAGCATAAAATGCTTTTCTTTTTTTAAACCATGAATTGAATAACTTTTGATAAAATATCTGATATCCACGGATTTAAGGAGATTGCTTTAGAGACAATATTCATTTGTTTTTCAGTAATTTCTTAAAATGTGGTTTTAAAAAATCGGTCTCCTTACTTTAAGCATCTCCTCTCACACAAGCATAGGTCCAATTGGTGGAGACAGTGATCAAACCCCAACGCACTCTGAATTGTGGCGCCATCTACTCAGCGCACCCTTCATTTGATGCAGTACTTTGGAGAGCAGCTCCGGTGCTCAGGCCTCGCAGAGGCCAAGGAGGATGAGGCTTACCACTAAAAAAAAGTTGATGTTGCTGATTTCTAGAGAATTATCAGACAACAAGTATTCAATAATCATAGCAGATCTTACAAAATAATGACGCAAAAGACTCTTTCACTATCGGGCTCTGTTGTGGTTGGCCACCATGACTTAAATCATCTGTCATTTTACTACATGGGCTTGTTATATCCTAAATCCGAAAAGAATGAAATGTCTATAATTTACAGACAGCCTGAAGGACAAGAAGTGAAGAGATTTACCTAAATTTTTTTAAACCAAAACCAAACAAAATGAAGACCTTTTTGAAATTATCCCTGATCTTCAAAGGATTCTCAACATATTAACTATGTTACAGTATACTTTTCTTCCTTTATTTTAGCCAGCTAAGCACACTGTGTTTAAGTAACTCCAGATGGGTAAACTAAAATATACTGCACTTCCCAAATGCAGTTTCCAGGACCACTTTACCCTGGGGTTGGTTGGTTTGTTTCCCCTTTAATGGTGCCATTTAATGACAGATTTCATGTGGTTAAAGAGTCTCCCTTACAAAGTTTGGGTTCAGAAACCATTTTGTATATCTGTGGTTTATATTATTAACAAAGGAGGTAGTGTTTCAATTACCAAGTTTGGAATAAACTTATAAAACCTTTAAGAATACATTATTTCACACTCTAACTCCCTCCTGTGCCTAAATGTTACCCTTAATGTTGGAAAAAAATTTTTTAATTTATTTATTAATGTTTGATAGTCCAAGTGTCAATACACAATATTTTAAATGTCATGTATTTAAGTACTATTTAAATAAACTATGTATTTAAATTAGGATAATTATTTAGTTGAGATTCATCTATGGAAGCTACAAGCACAAATTGATCTTAAGATGATTTTGTCACGAAATGTGCTGTGATTATTAAATAATTAAAATGCAAATTTTAAAGAATGAGTCAATACTTTTCATGTAAGAAAGTACATTGCTTTTTTTTTTTTTTTTGAGATGGAGTCTCGCTGTCACCCAGGCTGGAGTGCAGTGGTGCAATCTCAGCTCACTGCAAGCTCTGCTCCCAGGTTCACGCCATTCTCCTGCCTCAGCCACCCGAGTAGCTAGGACTACAGGCGCCCGCCACCATGTCCGGCTAATTTTTTTTGTACTTTTAGTAGAGACGGGGTTTCACCATGTTAGCCAGGATGGTCTCGATCTCCTAACCTCGTGATCCACCCGCCTCGGCCTCCCAAAGTGCTGGGATTATAAGCGTGAGCCACCGTGCCTGGCCAAAAGTACACTTGCTTTTGAGGTAAAGTCATAGCAGTGGCCTATGGAATATGGTGGCCTTGGTCTTTCTCTATTTTCTGGCACAGCTGTATTTCATGTCCATTGAAAACAAAGGCTAAATATAAAGTAAATCTGATAATATTTAGATATAAATTACTAGCTGCAATTTAGGAAAAGTAGGAATAAGGAGATTAACTTCATTTATATTCAGAGAGATAAAGAAGTGGGTTGAGCTAAATTTCACACCATTATTAACATTTTCTAACTTTCCTTTAAAATTTAAAACTTTTGCCTCAAGGCCATGTAGGGATGAACCAAGAATAAAATTAAGAGGAATGAAGTCTCTCTGTCCTACCCCCACCTTAGTCCTATTTATTCAGAGAGCAGAGGAATCAGGAGAAGGGAGAGGTAAATAAAGAAGGGAAAGAATCTCTGCCTGTTCTGAGCTCAGTTTTGCAGGACAAAGACATTAGCTCCCCCAAGAATGACAGGACAGGTCCATGGAGATCACTGGGTTGGTCCATGGAGCTGCCCCATCTTAGGTTCCCTTGCTTGCTTGCAGTTTTTATCTACTCATAAAAAGAGTAGACAAGACACATGAAGCAAGACACATGACACAAGAGGCGTAAGTCCCGATCCACTGTCTTTGAGCCCCCATCCGGCAAGGACACACTGTCATCTCCAAAGGGATTCTCCATCTCCATCTACGCTCTCTGCCTTTCGGGCATCCACCTTGTCATGCAGTTCTTACTTAGATACAGACTTGATTTTCTGGCAACTACCTCAGTATTTAATTTATGATTAACATTACTGAGCTCTTGCCATGGGCTAATCTTATAAACTCAAAGTCCATGCCCTCAAACTCCAGAGTCAAGCAGGTTAACAGATATACAAACAAATATAAAAGTAGAATTAACTTCTATCACAGATATGCATGTATGCACAGGATGTAAGGGAACAGACACGAAGAAAACCTAGCTAGCCCAAACTGGTGAGAGGAGGTGTTCGTGAGCCTTGAAAGACTGTAGGAATTGGCCAGTTATGATGTGGGGAGGGGCAGGCATGATAGAGGAGGGTAAGGAGGACTACCAGGAGAGCATTGTAAAAGGTCAGTGTGACAGATGGAACAGAATGATACAGCCTTGAATGCCATGCTAAGAAATGCTAAGAAGTTTGGGTTTTACCCTAAAGGTTATGGGTAACCTCCAAGGATTTTAAGCAAAATGACACAGAAAGATTTGCTGTTCAAACTCCAATCTGATTGTAACAGGAAAAATGAACTGGAAGAAGTGTAGTCTAGAACACTGCTAATCAAAGTGTGGTCTGCAGACCAAAGATAGCCTACAAACTGTCACAGGTCTATGACAAGATAACTACAGAAATCTGAAAGATAGTTTATTTCTGTTGGCTCTAATGATAAAAAATTTGAAGTTTGTGACAGTTTTAAAATATGGCCCCACCAAAATATAAAAAACAGGATATTTATACAGTACCTCCCCATAAGATATTTATAATATCTGAGAAACCTGGCAAACACCACAAAGGGAGCAAGTTTCACATCACAGTCATAAGACATATCCCCATGGTATACACTCCAATATGATGCACTGAGGAGGGGACAGCATCACTTCCATGTTATTCTTGCCAAAAATGCATGACCTCAATCTAATCACGGAAAAACATGAGACAAACTTAAATGGAGGAGCATCTTACAAAGTAACTACCTAGTACACAAAAACGTATTATGGTTATGAAAGACAAGAAAAGGCTGAGGAACTGTTCCAGACTAAGGAGACAGAGAAACAAATGTAATGTGGGATCCTAGATTAAATCCTGAACCAGAAAAAGTATATCATTTGGAAAATGGGTGAAACTGGAGTATGATCTACAGTTCGGTTAACAGTATATCAATGTTAATTTCCTGATTTTGATAACTGATAACCGTTCTATGGCTATGTAACATGTTAACAGTAGTGAAAGCTGGCTGAAGGACACATGGAAATTCTTTGTACTACTTTGACTCTGTAAGGTTAAAATTATTTGAAAGTTTAAAAGTTTTTTAAAATGACTTCTGATTTATTTGACTCTTCTCTCAGAAGAAGGATTTGTGTCTTCTTCCTGTGAGTCTGGGCAAGTTTAGGACTGCTTTGACCAAGAAAGTGGCATAGAAGTGACACTTTCTATGTGCCTATATTCTGTGTGTCTTTTTTGAATTTCATCTTTATAGTGTTTTATAAAAATATTCTAGTTACCTTTTGCTGCATAACTAGCTACTCCAAACTTAGTGGCATAAAGCAATAACCATTTTATGAAGTTCATGGATTCTGTGGGTCATGAATTTCGGCAGGACACAGTGGGGATGACTCGTCTTTGTTTCATGACGTTTGCGGCCTCAGCTGGGAAGACACAAAAGCTGTGGGGGATGGGAACAGCTGGGGGTTGTGATCACCTGAAGGTTTCCTCACTCACACTTCTGGCACCTGGGCTGGGATGATTCAAGGAAGGCTCAGTTAATTCTGTTGACTGGAGCATCTATCTATAGCTGCATTCTCCATGCAGCTTGGCCTCTCTCTGCATGATAGCTGGGTGCCAAGAGGAAGCATCCAAGGAGTAGGCTTTCAAAGAGAACCAGATGGCTTTTCTAACCTAGCTTTGGAGGTCATAACATCACTTCTATTGTGTTCTAAGTGGGCATGCGCAAGTTATGAAGGCAGTCCAGATTCAAATGGAGTGCAACTAGACTCCACCTCTTGATGGAGTATGGCACAGCTACAATACAGAAGGGCATGTGGAATGGGAAATATTATTACAGACATTTTTGTAAAATATGATCTACTACAGTATGAGTCTGCAACAAATAGAAAAATTTAAAACTGCTTCTTTGGCCGGGCATGGTGGCACATGCCTATAATCCCAGCTCTGTGGGAGGCCAAGGTGGGCAGATCACTTGAGCACCAAGAGTTTGAGACCAGCCTGGGCAACATGGAGAAAGCTGGTCTCTATAAAAAAAAAAAATATAAAAATTAGCCAGGCATAGTGGTGGGTGCCTGTAATTCCAGCTACTCAGGAGGCTGAGGTAGAAGGATCACCTGAGCCCAGGGAGGTCAAAGTTGCAGTAAGTCAGTAAGTTGTGATAATGCCACTGCTCAATGTCTCAAATAAATAAATAACTGCTTCCTCACCAGTCTGAGTAGCACTAGCCTACGTAACCAGAGAGACCTGTTAATAGGCCACTACAGCAATCTAAGGGGGACACCAATGGGGCCTTGTATTAGTTTTCTATTGCTGCCTAACAAATTCCCACAAACACAGCAGCTTAAGGCAATACCCATTTATTACTCCAATGTCCTACAGGTCAGAAGTCCATCTCAGCATGGCTGGTTAACCATATCAGGATACCACAAAGCTGGAATCATTGTGTCAGCTGGGCTAAGTTCCAGTCTGGAGGCTGGAGGTGGAGGGGATACATTTTCAAACTCATTCTTATTGTTGGCAGAATTCAGTTCCTTGCAGTTGTAGGGCTGAAGTCCTCATTTCCTTGCTGCTGCCAGCTAGGGATCTCTCTCAGCTCGTAGAGCCACACATATCCCTTACTATGTGGCCCTCTCCTTCTCTAAACCAGCGAGTGAGGATCTCCTCCACGTCAAATCCTTCTCAAGCCTCAAATCTCTTGGACTTCTCTGTCTCTGACCTCTAGACCACATTTAAAGGGCTCTTACGATTGGTCAGGCCCACCCAGATAATCTCCATATTTTAAGGTCAATTAATTTGCAACCTTAATTACATCTGCAATATCCCTCATAACAGCACTAAATTAGTGTTTAATTGACTGGAAGTTGCTATAGATACACCAGTGGCTGGAAATCTCCAAGGCCATCTTGCAGTTCTGCCTACCAGAGCCTGAACTTGCCCCTGGTCCCAGTTCCCTTCCCCCTGCCTCCTTTCTTAAAAGTAATGCATATTTGGTTCTCTGAATAAGCTGCTTCTGGCCTACTTGTGTACCAACCAAAATAGAAGCTGGGCTTTGTTTAGCTTTCCAACAATGCTAGTTAGGAGGTTTAGATTTCATATTTGCTCAGCAACTGACTGAGCACTAGACTACAAGCAAAGCTTTTTTGTTTACATAATTTACCAGTCTAGTGGACCAAGGACAGTCATTTTAAATTGAAAATCTCTAACATCAAGCTGAATTTCAAATTTTTGGATCAGTGAATCAGCTTCAAAAAGAAACAGTTTCATAATGTTTAGCTATGGTATGATATTATGTCTACCCTGAAAGCAATAACATTTGTAACATTTCTCCTTGAAATGTTTGTCCTTGCCTGCAATTCTTGCTAATTCTGCAGAGAACTGGCAGAAGTCTTACCATTAAGGTACATATATAGGGAGTTATTTTTCACACAAAAAAAGGAGGGCAGGGTTGAGATTTCAGCAGCGTTAGTATAAATAAATTTTAGAACTGGTCATTTTACAAAGATCTACAGCGTCCTCCTTATGGACAGGCATTACACTTTTTCCCTAAGGAAGTTTATACTCCAGTAGGCACAAAACGTACATAAAAATAACTTAATCCAAGTTATAAGACTGACTGCTTAATTTACTGAGAAAGTCTTAGAATTAAGTTAGAATATGCAGCTATACTAGTAATATATCTCTGATTTAGGGAAATCATCCATTGCCTACCAGCATTAAAAATATGGATTTTAGTAAGACAATTTCGGTTAGGTTAAAAGCAAATACTTTCCAACAGAATGGAGATTTTAAATGTAAACAGAATAGTTTTATGTTGCATTAATAACTTTGTAAAATGCTTTTACGCTTATTACCTCAATAGATGTCCAATACAGCCCTGTAATATTCCACACCTGTTGAACAAAATAAGGCCATGGAGTGTTTCGACCACAGAGAGTACAAAAGGAGAAATGGGAAAGCTGAAGTCAAGAGGATCTCCATACAGTGTGCAGGACTCTTTTATGAAGCACCTCTGACTCCTTCCAACCCTGGTTGCTATGATGTGGTTGCAAGTCCTGTTTCGTCCAGGGCTTTACAGAAATTGTCCCTACATCATGGTCTGTAATGCTCCTGCTACCCAGCTGAGGGCTTTGGCCTCTCACTCCCACATTCTGTCCAGTGCTTTCCATTCTTTCTGGGTCCTGAGCCTTCACTCTCTCTCTGAACCTCGTCGCTCTGCAGCTGGCCACCTTTCTCTAATGATTCTTTGAATCTTTGGCATTCTCCCCAAGACATGATTCTGTATTCATCCCACAGCTTCCCAGTTTGAAACCACATGTAAGAAGCATGCTCACATGTAAGAGGTATGCACATCCTTGCACCAGAGCTGGAAGGGGAGTGAACAGGAAGAGGCAGTATCAGTAAGAGAAAGAATTGACAGTGGCAGAGACCAAAGGCAAGTCCCTAAGAGGACCACTAGATTGTACCAGCATTTCTTTTCTCCTACAGATACGAACCCAATAATAAAAAACAGAAATTCCATATTTTTTAAAATTATTTTCCATTTAATGAACATGCTTACTTCCTAAAGTAATTTTTTTGGTCCGGATAACTTAATGGAATACAAGAGATTTTTTGTTTTGGAATCTACCTGAAATCAAGCTAAGATTTCTCTGTCTTCATTCACTTGATAAACATTTGTTTGGTATCTTTTATGTGCCATGCACTGGGCCAAATGAGAGCTGCAGCAGGTATCATAAATGCTAGGATAGATACATAAAGATAAAGATCTATAAAGGTACAGAAGAGACAACAGAATAACCTTTTCTATCTGAAGAGCATTGCAAAGGCTTCACAGTGCAACCCGTAATGACAATAGCAGTAAACATGGATTGCACAGTTACTATCTGGAACTCACAGTAACAAATGCTGTGTATGTGCTAACTCACTGGATTCTAACAAAAAAAAAAAAACCTCATAGTTAGACATTACTATCTTTTTACTTCAGATGACAAATTAAGGCAGAAAGAACTTAAGTAAACCAGTTAAGTGGCAAGTAGAGGGGCTGAGATATAAACCTAGGCAGCTGAGATCAGAGTCCACATTCTACAGGGTAGGTACAGCCTGAGGTTCAGCAAAGGAGCAGGTTTCTGACAGCAGGTGGAGGAAAGTGCATGAGGGAAGGGTGGACAGATAGAGATGAAGTGTGTCCTGGGCAAAGGGAATAGCATGACAGCCAAAAACAGGATGGTCCATTAAAGGCAGTGAAAGGTTTAAGTGAAAGAGCAAGTTTATTACATAAGTGGAAGAGGCAAAAAGAAGGTAGCGAAAGATCCAGCTAGAAGAGTAAGCCACAGCGGATCACAGAAGATCATGTTAGTCATGCTGAGTTGCTTGAACATTATCCTTCAGGTCAGGGCTGGCAAACTACAGCCCACAGGCCAACTCTGCCAGCCACCTATATCTGCATAGTCCATAAGCCAAGAACAGTTAGTGGGTTTTTTCAATGGTTGAATCAATCAAGAGAAGAATATTTCATGATATATGAAAACTGTATGAAATTCAACTTTCAGTTTCCATTAGTAAAATTTTTTTGGAACACAATCCTGTGTATTCATTTACATACTGTCTGCGTTTGCTTTTATGATATAATGGCAGAGTTAAGTAGCTGTAACAGAGACCATATGGCCTGCAAGACCTAAAATATTTACTATCTAGCCATTTACAGAAAAGGTCTGCTGAGCCTTTCTCTAGGTGGCTGGGTGCCATTAAGGGTAAGATTAAGTAAAGCAATGTCATTACCAGATTTATATTTTTTGCAAAGATTATTCAGGCAACAATAAGGAGAATAAACTGAAAATGAAAAAGGACTGGGAACATGATCAGTTAGCAGATTATGACTAATCTCAAGATGATCAAAGCAGGAATCCATAGGAAAAAGCAATGATGAGGGGTATTAATGAAGTCATATCAATAGGACTTGATAATCTACTGAATGCATGAGGGGAGAGAAGAGATCTAAAATGACTCCAGGTACTTGATTTGTCCTACCAGGAGGCCACTACCATGACCACCACCCAGAGCAATAAACAGCACACCACGCAATGTCATTTATTGGAGCTCCCTGTGCAATGATGCACAGTGCTTAGTGCTTTACCTCTCACTTGATCCTTATTGTGAGGTAGTAATCATTAACCTCATTCTACAATAGAGAAAACCAGCACTGAACCTTACCCAGGTGGTCTGAAAGCCCCCAGCAAAATCGATGTTCCAATGCCAGAGTCACTAGCAACCCTGCCCTAACAGGAAATGAAAGGGAGCTGGGATGTGGCTGTTTACACTGTGCCTTTCATGGGATCCTTCTTTCACCTGATGGATGGCCTAATGCCTAATTTTCTGACCCATTACCAGGGATCCTTCACATGGGGAACTTGCTTATACTGGCAGATGTCCTTGTGCTTTTGCCTGACCCATGTCCAGTTTATGATTGCCTGACCATCACTCTGGCTCTGAAAGCCTGACATTGTGTTCTCCCAGGCATCCTGGGGAAAACTCTGCCTGAAGCATCCCCTAGTTCTTCATCTGGAAGGTACAAACTCAGTATACCACCACAACAGGAAACAAGATGAAAGAGTTTTATTTACAAATCCTGGGCAAAAAGAGTATAATGAGTCAGGAGGGCAGCCCTCCATCCCTGGGTCACATGAGGCAGGAATGGCGTCAGACAGAGAAAAAGAAAAATGCATGGCAAGTAGCAGAATATGTAAGAGAATAGCGTGTGGGTCACTTCAAGTTAACAGGCAAATGTCTGCATGGTCCCTTTAGAGGAAGCAGCAAGAAAGCGGGAGCCCATTCTGCTGTGCAGGAGAGATGCCTCTAGGTTCTCATCTCTGACCACTGGCTTGAGCGATTTGGGTATAGTGTAGACATGGAAACTGAGTCAAGGGTGACTGAGCCTTGATTTCTGTAGGAAAAGTTAAATTTATGTTAAACATGGATGTCAAGGCAACATAAAATCACAAGAACTCACCACATCAGGTTAACACAGCTAATTTGTTTCAGAGTTTATAACCTTAACTGCTGCAATGTACAGAGAAGAAAGGCATGGTTGGATGAGAAGAGCAAAGTTGGAAAAGAAGAATAAGAAGAAACTGAGGGAGGAATCTCAGGGCATATCAACACTTAAAGAGTTAGTAGGAAAAATAAAACCTGGTGGTGTCAATGTTCACATGATGGAAGGCGAAAGAACATCAATGAAGGTGAAATGAAAACGGTCAAAAAGAATGGGTTAACACTGTACTCATTCTCCTTGCTGTTTAGATTTTAGGTTCAGTCCCATTTCCTATAAATGGTACTTTTATTGCATATACTGAGTAACTTTAGTATCCCCAAGCCTATTTTAGGAACTATTTCTAAGATCAGTCATGATACTAAAGTTACTAAGAAACAAAAATAAGACTGATGATCAACTTGAAACCATTGAAAAGGCTATCTTGTTGACCATGAAAACCTTAAGATGGATTATGGATTATCATTCACACTAAAGTTTCATAAGAACCACTAGCCTGTGTTTGTGTGTGTACTTAACAAATCTATAGTTTTGTCCTAATTATAAAAAATAATTATTAAGAATTATAATTTTACAACTGTACATATTTATATAAATATATAGAAGCATAAATATATTAATGTTACATTTAGAAAAAATAGAAAAGTATTACAAATAAAATATAATCCCACTATTCCAAACAAATCAATGAATTTTGATATGTTACTTGTCTTTTTTCTACTTATACATGACATAGGATCAACCCAATCTCTAAAATAATAGCTACCATTTAGTGAGCATGTACTGTGTCACACTGTGCTATGTGCTTGGACATCCATGCTTCAATTAATGTCTAACAACTCTATGAGGTTAAGCCCATTTTACAGAGGAAGACACTGAGCCATAGATTGGTGAAGCAATTTGCTCACAGTCACTCAAACAGTAAGTAATTGATCTGAGATTAGAACGGATATCTACTTAAGAGCCTGTTAGATATATTATATCAGGATAGAGGGTGGGATAAAAAGTTCAAATTCTATTGGGTTTTTAAAAATATATGAAAAACATTTTCCCATGTCATTAAATATTCATTTAAAATATTAGTTCTTTTAGATACATAGTTTTCCAACCTGTCATTTATTTAACTAGTCCTCCCTGGATGGTCCCATTTTCCATTTTGTACTCCTAGACATAGAAAACAAAATAAACCTAGTGGGGTTTAGAAATCACTTCAAATGGGTTCCAGTCCTCACTCAATTCTCTACCTTTGTATTCTTGGACAACTTACATAAACTCTGAGTGTTACTTTCATTACATGTATTACCATTGCCTACTTCACTTGGTGACAGTGAGGAGGAAATAAGGTTGTGCCTGTGAAGCACCCAACACTGTCTGGTCCATAAAAAGCTCTCTCTGTAAACAGATACTAGGCTGGGTATGGTGGCTCATGCCTGTAATCTTAGCACTTTGGGAGGCCGAGGTGGGTGGATTACTTGAGTCCAAGAGTTCAAGACCAGCCTGGACAATATGGCAAAACCTCATCTTTACAAAAAATACAAAAATTAGGTGGTATGGTGTCACACACCTGAAGTCCCAGCTACTTGGGAGGCTGAGGCAAGAAGATCACTTGAGGCTGGGAGGTTAGGGCTGCAGCGAGCCATGATCCTGCCACTGCACTCTAGCCTGGTCGACAGAGCAAGACTCTGTCTCAAAAGAAAAAAAAAAAAGAAAAGAAGAGAAGAGAGGAGAAAATAGCTGTCTTTACTATTTTTATTGTTGTTTTTTTTTAATTATTATTATACTTTAAGTTTTAGGGTACATGTGCACAATGTGCAGGTTAGTTACATATGTATACATGTGCCATGCTGGTGCGCTGCACCCATTAACTCGTCATTTAGCATTAGGTATATCTCCTAATGCTATCCCTCCCCCGTCCCCCCACCCCACAACAGTCCCCAGAGTGTGATTGTTTTAAATAACATTTTAATGGGCATTCTTGTATATAAACATTTGTGAATATCTTTTACTATTTTCTTAGGATATATTTCGAACAGTGGAATTAAAGATGTTTAATATATACCGACAGTGTGCTCATCACAAAGGACACACTAATCTGAACCTTTATTTATTAATCTTAATTTTAAAATGTATATATTGTGTACAACATGTCAAAATGTTTGGAAATATGTATACATCATGGAATGGCTAAATCAAGCTCATTAATATATACATTATCTTCTTGTGGTGAGAATACTTAAAATCTACTCTCACCAATTTTCAAAAATATAACACATTGCTATTAACTGTAGTCACCAGGTTGGACATTACATCCTAACTGAAATTTTTTAGCTTTTGACCAGCATCTCCCCAACCTTCTACCTCCTTCCCTCACCCCTCAGTAACCACCAGTCTCCTCTCTACTTCTGAGTCAAAATTTTTACATTCCACATATAAGTGAGATGATGCAGTATTTGTCTTTTTGTGCCTCATTTATTTGACTTAATATAACATCCTCCAGGTCCATCCATATTGCCACCAATGACAGGATTTCTTTGTTTTTTAAAGGCTGAATAGTATTCTATTGTGTATATCTACCACATTTTCTTTATTCGTTCATCTATTGATGGACATAGGTTGATTCCATATTTTGGCTATTGTGAATAATGCTGAAATGAACATGGGAGTGCAATATCTCTTTCAGATAGTGATTTCAATCTCTTTGGATAAATATTCGGTAGTGGCATTGCTGGAACACATGGCAGCTATAGTTTTATTTTTTGAGGAACCTCTATACTGTTTTCCATAATGGCTGTAACAATTTCCATTCCTGTCAACAATGTGTAAGAGTTCCCTTTTCTCCACACCTTCTCCAATCCTTGTTATCTTTCATTTTTCGGATCATAGCCATTCTAACAGGTGTGAAGTGATTGCTTATTGTGGTTTTAATCTGCATTTCCCTGATGATTAGTAATAGTGAGCATTTCTTCATAGATCTGTTGGTTATCTGGGTATCTTCTTTTGAGAAACGTCCATTCAGATCCTTTGCCCATTTTATCATTGGGTTGGTTTCCTACTATTGAGTTGTTTGAGTTCCTTATATATGTTGGATATTAACTCCTTATCTGATGTACGGTTTACAAATATTTTCTCCCATTCTGTAAGTTGTCTCTTCACTCTATTGTTTCCTTGGCTGTGCAGAAGTTTTCTAGGTTGATGGAATCCCATTTGTCCATTTTTGCTTTTTGTTGCCTTTGCTTTGAGTTCAAAGATATACCAATTTAAAAGGCAAACAGTGGTGTACGAAAGTACATATTTCACTAGACTCTCAATAAATGCTATCAAAAAACAAACTCTACCAATTTGTTTTTTAAAAGTATGTTGTTATCTTAATGAAATTTTCTTTTATTATTAATGAGAGTGATTCTTTTTCATGTTTATTGTTAGGAACAGCCTTTTCATGTCCTTTGTCCATTTTCCCTTTGGGCCTACTCTCTGTCGGAATTTCAAGATATCTAATAAAACCTGTCCCTAAAAACTGACCATTTGTTTATCCTGTAAACAACTGAGTTGAGCAGAATTTGTGACTCCAAGCAGAGAGAAGAAATGCACCCCAAAAAATGGTGTATTCTGAAGATACAAAGTGTCACCGAGGCATTGGCATCACTGAAGAACCATGACTTCACCGCCTGGGTTTTTTTTCCTATGTAATATGCTATGGCAAAGAATGTTAAGTGATACCACATGTTTGAGATGGTAACAAAAATGTACCAAGCAAGTCACAGAACATCATTTGAAACTCAGACCACAGTTTAGTCTGGCAGCTCTTGTGCTCTTTAATTACATGGCTAAAGCCACATTTGTATAGCAAACACTGTAATGTATTCTGGCCAATAACTGTCATCACATAAAATCAGAAGACTCTTGATATGGAAGAAGATTTGCTGTTGAGACATGACAGATGAATTAAGAGTCCATGTTTTATGCCTCATGTTACATTCCATTCAGTCAGGCTTCACTTTGTTCTACTTAGTAGACTGCCAGTGGCAGGTGTATGCAATATATTCACAATAATATATTACTTTATTAAGGGAGGATAACATCAAAAAAGAATTCACAGCACAAGTACTTTGTTAATTCTAAAATGGTAAATGACCTTGGCAAATTACCAAAAGAAAGCGTAAATATTAAAACAGAACCATGATGCCAAAACAGGTCATATATGAATATTATCAAGGAACTGACTCTCTCATACTTCAGAAAGTACACTGATCACATCAGGAGATTTTGTGTAGCTATTATTTCCATAATTAGGATACGATCGGCTGATGGTTTTACTGGCTGCAAAAAGCAAATAACAGTTTCTGAATTAGCTGTATGATACACAGAGAGACCCAATAACCACATAAACACAAAATATAACGACACCATAGAAATTCTTTGTTGCAAGACAATGTTTCTTGTTGCCACTGTCTTCAGTGCTGCATATTTTAACATCATCAGAAGCAAAATAAATGTTTGACAAGTTCAAAATACCTGAAAGACATTAACTGATGAGCCAAAAATCAAAGAAGACAAAAAGAAAAGTTGTAAACTCTAGTCAAACAAAAAATAAACAAATGGCTGGGTGTGGTGGCTCACACCTGTAAGTAATCCCAGCACTTTGGGAGGCCGAGTCAGGCAGATCACCTGAGGTCAGGAGTTCAAGACCAGCCTGGATAACATGGTGAAACCCCATCTCTACTAAAAATACAAAAATTAGCCGACCGTGGTGGTGCATGCCTGTAATCCCAGCTACTCGGGAGGCTGAGACAGGAGAATCACTTAAACCTGGGAGGCGGAGGTTGCAGTGAGCCAAGATTGCGCCACTGCACTTCAGCCCAGGTAACAGAGCTAGACTTCATCTCAATAAATAAATACATGTATCTGTCAAAGTATATATTGCCCACCATTAATATTCTGGTCTAAGGCAACTGTCATTTTTATACATTATTTAATAAACCAGTAAAATTAAGATGTTAATCTGATATTTTTTCAAAAAATTAGTAATTTGAAGACTATTTCCTTTAAATACTAAAGATAATGATACCCGTGATGACTGGGTAAAGAAATAGAAAACTGTGTATTATGGTAAATGACAAAGTAGACTGACTGCTTTGAGGCCAGACCTGTGTGTGTATGAGAAACCAAGCATCCACTGAAGGATATCAATGATTGGATGGCTGATGGCCCATAAAAGCTTGTGATGGTTTGTGTTTTACCTGTGTTAACATAATCATCATCTTCTCATGGGCAATGGCGTCCTTATCCTAGCAAATACAAAAGGGAGGTCCCATTTCTATTGGCATACAGGCCACTTACAGCTCTCACCTCCCCCACTGGACCAGCTAGGAAAGCTCACTATGCACTCATACATACAAAACTGTAGAAACTCCTTAGAAAGGTAGCTCTATACAAGTGAGTCATTTCTTAAAAATGACTGGTGAATTGAGAAGCCTGCCACTGCCTGCTTGGAGCCTAGCTCTGTATTTCCCATCACACTCCGAGAGCCCAGGCAAGACCTCCTGCAATAAAATAATTACGGTATTTGAGTGCTACTGTTTTCACAATGCTTTCATGCCATCTCCAAAATGTAGAATGGTCTCTCGTTTTGCCTAGTGTCCCAGGAAGCCTAAGGCTCTTCCTAGCAAAGAACTGAGGAGGTGACCAGAGACCTGTGGGCTACATCCACTGCCCACCCCTCCTGAGCTCTGTCAAGCTTCAATAGGAAACACACGGAGAATCACTGCCCCAAATTTTGTCTCAAAATGCTTAAGTCTGAGCAAATAATGAGCAGATAATAAAATATGGCCAAAGGCATAGTGTACCTGAGACTTAATCAATATTCTAGATATATATGTAGCAAGGAACCTGGAAGAGACATACTTTAAGCAGAAATTCAAAAAGAAAATGGAAGAATAATCCAACGATATATACAACTTTTTTTTAATTGAATTGTTTCTTTTCAATGGTAAAAATAAAAATTTTCAAAATGTGGGAAGATGTCAATTCACTGGAGTGAAGATCAAGAACACTTTGTCCCTGGAAACTCTCAGAGCTTGCCATCTATTTCCCACGTCTTCAATCTAAAGCTATCCTTCATTCCCATTCATTGTTTGAATCCTGTACTCATCAATACAGTTCAAAGCAAATGGTCAAGGCTTTGCTCTAATCACTGCAGTTATAAGATGCATTGAGTTTGATTGAGTTTGACCCGGACCCCAGCCTGAGATTCAGACTGCAGCCACTATAAGTCTTTTCCAGTTGATGTGTTGCCTGAGAGGAGACAGGCTGAATACGCAATATCCATTGTCACCCTCCTGTGAAATCTTCTCTGGGCAAATCAGCCCTGGTGCAGCAGTGGAAGATGGAACACGCACTTTCTAGATGTCAATTATGATATACAACATCTAAGCCATTCAGAAGATAAAATCCTTTTGCTTCTGAAGATAAGACTGTGCATATTAGTAGGGGCTAAGTTGTCGAGGTAATAAAAAGAAAACAAAAACTATGAGAATCAAGTGGAATAGTTTGCTTCAAGAAACAGCTACACCAGGCCAGGCACGGTGGCTCATGACTGCAATCCCAGCACTTTGGGAGGCCAAGGTGGGAGGATCACTTGAGCCCAGGAGTTCAAGACCACTCTGGGCAACACAGGGAGACCCCATCACTACAAAGAATAAAAAAATTAGCCAGGCAGAATGATAATGTGTCTGTAGTCACAGCTAAAACTTTTAAATCATAAAAACCACTGGCCCTAAAGCCTGGAAGACCCAGGCTAAAACCCACTTCTAGGAAGAGTTCCAGAGCAGGCTGAGAGACTCAAGCACATGAGTCCTTCTGTCCAATGTGAAAGAAGTAAATTTAGTAAATTCTGAACATGCTTAAACGATTTATGAGAGGAAATGTAACATATTTTTCCCAATTACCCAAGAAGAGTAATTGTTTCCTAATAATTGTTTAAAATGCAAGTAAAAAAAAAAAGGAGCTCATAAAAATGACAATTAATACCTTTTTTTTTTTTTTTTTCTTTGAGACGGAGTTTCACTCTTGCTGCCCAGGCTGGAGTGCAATGGCGTGATCTCGGCTCACTGCAACCTCTGCCTCCCAGGTTCAAGTGGTTCTCGTGCCTCAGCCTCCCAAGTAGCTGGAATTACAGGCACATGCAACCACGTCTAGCTAATTTTGTATTTCAGTAGAGACGAGGTTTCTTCATGTTGGTCAGGCTGGTCTCGAACCCCTGACCTCAGGTGATCCGCCTGCCTAGGTCTCCCAAAGTGCCAGGATTACAGGCGTGACCCACTGCGCCCAGCCAATACGTAACAGTTTTTACTCTTTTTTTTTAATACTTTAAGTTTTAGGGTACATGTGCACAACGTGCAGGTTTGTTACTTATGTATACATGTGCTATGCTGGTGTACTCCACCTATTAACTCGTCATTTAGCATTAGGTATATCTCCTAATGCTATCCCTCCCTACTCCCCCCACCCCACAACAGTCCCCAGAGAGTGATGTTCCCCTTCCTGCGTCCATGTGTTCTCATTGTTCAATTCCCACCTATGAGTGAGAACATGCAGTGTTTGGTTTTTTGTCCTTGCCATAGTTTACTGAGAATGATGATTTCCAATTTCATCCATGTCCCTATAAAGGACATGAACTCATCATTTTTTATGGCTGCACAGTATTCCATGGTGTATATGTGCCACATTTTCTTAATCCACTCTACCATTGTTGGACATTTGGATCAGTTCTAAGTCTTCGCTATTGTGAACAGTGCCGCAATAAACATACGTGTGCATGTGTCTTTATAGCAGCATGATTTATAGTCCTTTGGGTATATACCCAGTAATGGGATGGCTGGGTCAAATGGTATTTCTAGTTCTAGATCCCTGAAGAATCACCACACTGACTTCCACAATGGTTGAACTGGTTTACAGTCCCACCAACAGTGTAAAAGTGTTCCTATTTCTCCACCTCCTCTCCAGCACCTGTTGTTTTCCTCACTTTTTAATGATCGCCATTCTAACTGGTGTGAGATGGTATCTCATTGTGGTTTTGATTTGCATTTCTCTGATGGCCAGTGATGATGAGCATTTTTTCATGTGTCTGTTGGCTGCATAAATGTCTCCTTTTGAGAAGTGTCTGTTCATATCCTTCGCCCAGTTTTTGATGGGGTTGTTTGTTTTTTTCTTGTACATTTCTTTGAGTTCATTGTAGATTCTGGATATTAGCCCTTTGTCAGATGAGTAGGTTGTGAAAATTTTCTCCCATTTTGTAGGTTGCCTGTTCACTCTGACGGTAGTTTCTTTTGCTGTGCAGAAGCCCTTTAGTTTAATTAGATCCCATTTGTCAATTTTGGCTTTTGTTGCCATTGCTTTTGGTGTTTTAGACATGAAGTCCTTGCCCATGCCTATGTCCTGAATGGTAATGCCTAGGTTTTCTTCTACGGTTTTTATGGTTTTAGGTGTAACGTTTAAGTCTTTAATCCATCTTGAATTAATTTTTGTATAAGGTGTAAGGAAGGGAACCAGTGTCAACTTTCTACATATGGCTAGCCAGTTTTCCCAGCACCATTTATTAAATAGGAAATCCTTTCCCCATTGCTTCCTTTTCTCAGGTTTGTCAAAGATCAGATAGTTGAAGATATGCGGCATTATTTCTGAGGGCTCTGTTCTGTTCCATTGATCTATATCTCTGTTTTGGTACCAGTACCGTGCTGTTTTGGTTACTGTAGCCTTGTAGTATAGTTTGAAGTCAGGTAGCGTGATGCCTCCTGCTTTGTTCTTTTGGCTTAGGATTGACTCGGTGATGCAGGCTCTTTTTTGGTTCCATATGAACTTGAAAGCAGTTTTTTCCAGTTCTGTGAAGAAAGTCATTGGTAGCTTGATGGGGATGGCATTGAATCTATAAATTACCTTGGGCAGTATGGCCATTTTCACAATATTGATACTTCCTACCCATCAGCATGGAATGTTCTTCCATTTGTTTGTATCCTCTTTTATTTCATTGAGCAGTGGTTTGTAGTTCTCCTTGAAGAGGTCCTTCACATCCCTTGTAAGTTGGATTCCTAGGTATTTTATTCTCTTTGAAGCAATTGTGAATGGGAGTTCACTCATGATTTGGCTCTCTGTTTGTCTGTTATTGGTGTATAAGAATGCTTGTGATTGTTGTATATTGATTTTGTATCCTGAGACTTTGCTGAAGTTGCTTATCAGCTTAAGGAGATTTTGGGCTGAGACAATGGGGCTTTCTAGATACACAATCATGTCGTCTGCAAACAGGGACAATTTGACTTCCTTTTTTCCTAATTGAATACCCTTTATTTCCTTCTCCTGCCTAATTGTCCTGGCCAGAACTTCCAACACTATGTTGAATAGGAGTGGTGAGAGAGGGCATCCCTGTCTTGTGCCAGTTTTCAAAGGGAATGCTTCCAGTTTTTGCCCATTCAGTATGATATTGGCTGTGGGTTTGTCATAGATAGCTCTTATTATTTTGAGATATGTCCCATCAATACCTAATTTATTGAGAGTTTTTAGCATGAAGGGTTGTTGAATTTTGTCAAAGGCCTTTTCTGCATCTATTGAGATAATCATGTGGTTTTTCTCTTTGGTTCTGTTTATATGTTGGATTACATTTATTGATTTGTGTATATTGAACCAGCCTTGCATCCCAGGGATGAAGCCCACTTGATCATGGTGGATAAGCTTTTGGATGTGCTGCTGGATTCGGTTTGCCAGTATTTTATTGAGGATTTTTGCATCAGTGTTCATCAGGGATATTGGTCTAAAATTCTCTTTTTTGGTTGTGTCTCTGCCCGGCTTTGGTATCAGGATGATGCTGGCCTCATAAAATGAGTTAGGGAGGATTCCCTCTTTTTCTATTGATTGGAATAGTTTCAGAAGGAATGGTACCAGTTCCTCCTTGTACCTCTGGTAGAATTCGGCTGTGAATCCATCTGGTCCTGGACTCTTTTTGGTTGGTAAGCTATTGATTATTGCCACAATTTCAGATACTGTTACTGGTCTATTCAGAGATTCAACTTCTTCCTGGTTTAGTCTTGGGAGGGTGTATGTGTCGAGGAATTTATCCATTTCTTCTAGATTTTCTAGTTTATTTGTGTAGAGGTGTTTGTAGTATTCTCTGATGGTAGTTTGTATTTCTGTGGGATCGGTGGTGATATCCCCTTTATCATTTTTTATTGCATCTATTTGATTCTTCTCTCTTTTTTTCTTTATTAGTCTTGCCAGGGGTCTATCAATTTTGTTGATCTTTTCAAAAAACCAGCTCCTGGATTCATTAATTTTTTGAAGGGTTTTTTGTGTCGTATTTCCTTCAGTTCTGCTCTGATTTTAGTTATTTCTTGCCTTCTGCTAGCTTTTGAATGTGTTTGCTCTTGCTTTTCTAGTTCTTTTAATTGTGATGTTAGGGTGTCAATATTGGATCTTTCCTGCTTTCTCTTGTGGGCATTTATTACTATAAATTTCCCTCTACACACTGCTTTGAATGTGTCCCAGAGATTCTGGTATGTTGTGTCTTTGTTCTCGTTGGTTTCAAAGAACATCTTTATTTCTGCCTTTGTTTCGTTATGTACCCAGTAGTCATTCAGGAGCAGGTTGTTCAGTTCCATGTAGTGGAGTGGTTTTCAGTGAGTTTCTTAATCCTCAGTTCTAGTTTGATTGCACTGTGGTCTGAGAGACAGTTTGTTATAATTTCTGTTCTTTTACATTTGCTGAGGAGAGCTTTACTTCCAAGTATGTGGTCAATTTTGGAATAGGTGTGGTGTGGTGCTGAAAAAAATGTATATTCTGTTGATTTGGGGTGGAGAGTTCTGTAGATGTCTATTAGGTCTGCTTGGTGCAGAGCTGAGTTCAATTCCTGGGTATCCTTGTTAACTTTCTGTCTTGTTGATCTGTCTAATGTTGACAGTAGGGTGTCAAAGTCTCCCATTATTATTGTGTGGGAGTCTAAGTCTCTTTGTAGGTCACTCAGGACTTGCTTTATGAATCTGGGTGCTCCTTTATTAGGTGCATATATATTTAGGATAGTTAGCTCTTCTTGTTGAATTGATCCCTTTACCATTATGTAATGGCCTTCCTGGTCTCTTTTGATCTTTGTTGGTTTAAAGTCTGTTTTATCAGAGACTAGGATTGCAACCCCTGCCTTTTTTTGTTTTCCATTTGCCTGGTAGATCTTCCTCCATCCTTTTATTTTGAGCCTATGTGTGTCTCTGCACATGAGATGGGTCTCCTGAATACAGCACACTGATGGGTCTTGACTCTTTATCCAATCTGCCAGTCTGTGTCTTTTAATTGGGGCATTTAGTCCATTTACATTTAAAGTTAATATTGTTATGTGTGAATTTGATCCTGTCATTATGATGTTAGCTGGTTATTTTGCTCGTTAGTTGATGCAGTTTCTTCCTAGTCTCAATGATCTTTACACTTTGGCATGATTTTGCAGCGACTGGTACTGGTTGTTCCTTTCCATGTTTAGTGCTTCCTTCAGGAGCTCTTTTAGGGCAGGCCTGGTGGTGACAAAACCTGTCAGCATTTGCTTGTCTGTAAAGTGTTTTATTTCTCCTTCACTTATGAAGCTTAGTTTGGCTGGATATGAGATTCTGGGTTGAAAATTCTTTTCTTTAAGAATGTTGAATATTGGCTCCCACTCTCTTCTGGCTTGTACAGTTTCTGCTGAGAGATCCGCTGTTAGTCTGATGGGCTTCCCTTTGTGGGTAACCCGACCTTTCTCTATGGCTGCCCTTAACATTTTTTCCTTCATTTCAACT
The DNA here is from genome assembly GCF_000001405.40 of Homo sapiens. Lineage (NCBI taxonomy): Eukaryota > Metazoa > Chordata > Mammalia > Primates > Hominidae > Homo > Homo sapiens. Next base: position 41,646,646 of record NC_000003.12, read on the forward strand.
ATGGTGAATCTGACAATTATGTGTCTTGGAGTTGCTCTTCTCAAGGAGTATCTTTGTGGCGTTCTCTGTATTTCCTGAATCTGAATGTTGGCCTGCCTTGCTAGATTAGGGAAGTTCTCCTGGATAATATCCTGAAGAGTGTTTTCCAACTTGGTTCCGTTCTCCCCGTCACTTTCAGGTACACCAATCAGATACAGATTTGGTCTTTTCACATAGTCCCATATTTCTTGGAGGCTTTGTTCATTTCTTTTTATTCATTTTTCTCTAAACTTCCCTTCTCGCTTCATTTCATTCATTTCATCTTCCATCACTGATACCCTTTCTTCCAGTTGATCGCATCGGCTCCTGAGGCTTCTGCATTCTTCATGTAGTTCTCGAGCCTTGGCTTTCAGCTCCATCAGCTCCTTTAAGCACTTCTCTGTATTGGTTATTCTAGTTATACATTCGTCTAAATTTTTTTTAAAGTTTGTAACTTCTTTGCCTTGGGTTTGAATTTTCTCCTGTAGCTCGGAGTAGTTTGATCGTCTGAAGCCTTCTTCTCTCAACTCGTCAAAGTCATTCTCCATCCAGCTTTGTTCCGTTGCTGGTGAGGAACTGCATTCCTTTGGAGGAGGAGAGGCACTCTGCTTTTTAGAGTTTCCAGTTTTTCTGCTCTGTTTTTTCCCCATCTTTGTGGTTTTATCTACTTTTGGTCTTTGATGATGGTGATGTACAGATGGGTTTTTGGTGTGGATGTCCTTCCTGTTTGTTAGTTTTCCTTCTAACAGACAGGACCCTCAGCTGCAGGTCTGTTGGAGTTTGCTAGAGGTCCACTCCAGACCCTGTTTGCCTGGGTATCAGCAGCGGTGGCTGCAGAACAGCGGATTTTCGCGAACCACAAATGCTGCTGTCTGATCATTCCTCTGGAAGTTTTGTCTCAGAGGAGTACTGGGCCGTGTGAGGTGTCAGTCTGCCCCTACTCGGGGGTGCCTCCCAGTTAGGCTGCTTGGGGGTCAGGGGTCAGGGACCCACTTGAGGAGGCAGTCTGCCCGTTCTCAGATCTCCAGCTGCATGCTGGAAGAACCACTGCTCTCTTCAAAGCTGTCAGACAGGGACATTTAAGTCTGCAGACGTTACTGCTGTCTTTTTGTTTGTCTGTGCCCTGCCCCCAGGGGTGGAGCCTACAGAGGCAGGCAGGCCTCCTTGAGCTGTGGTGGGCTCCACCCAGTTTGAGCTTCCCAGCTGCTTTGTGTACCTACGCAAGCCTGAGCAATGGCGGGCGCCCCTCCCCCAGCCTCGCTGCCGCCTTGCAGTTTGATCTCAGACTGCTGTGCTAGCAATCAGCGAGACTCCGTGGGCGTAGGACCCTCCGAGCCAGGTGCAGGATATAATCTCGTGGTGCGCCATTTTTTAAGCCCGTCGGAAAAGCGCAGTATTCTGGTGGGAGTGACCCGATTTTCCAGGTGCCGTCTGTCACCCCTTTCTTTGACTAGGAGAGGGAACTCCCTGACCCCTTGCGCTTCCCGAGTGAGGCAATGCCTTGCCCTGCTTCAGCTCCCACAAAGTGCGCTGCTCCCACTGTCCTGCGCCCACTGTCTGGCACTCCCTAGTGAGATGAACCCGGTACCTCAGATGGAAATGCAGAAATCACCGGTCTTCTGTGTCGCTCACGCTGGGAGCTGTAGACCGGAGCTGTTCCTATTCGGCCATCTTGGCTGCCCTCCCCAGTTTTTACTCTTTATCTTAAAGTAAGAAACAAAGGATAGTACCAAATGACTACAGCTCCAAATAGAATTATGTAAACAATAACAAGGCCTTAGGACAATGTTAGTCATTGTTTTTATAAATATTCTAAAAATAGCAGTATGTAATATAGTTTCTAATTACCCAAATAAGAATTCAATACCTTGTCTGCCCAATTGATAGACCTCATCAATTGCAAACTGTTTTCTTAGCCTACCCTCAATCACCCAGTCAGCACCATTTCAAAAATCTCACTTTTAAGCATCTCAAAGCCAAAACACAACTTCTTAACTTTCCAGCTCAATTACCCCTCTCCACTTGTGACACTTCTCTTCTCCTTTAGGGAATGTTGAGGGAGGAGGGTAGGAATCCCCAAGTGGGTAAGAACATCAATCTAGCAGGTCACCACTTGCTCTCCAACATCACCAGTTTTACCCTTTCCAGGAGAGAAAGCATCAGAAAACGCAGTAAAAAGCCAGAAGTAGGCTAGGCATGGTGGCTCACACCTATAATCCCAGCACTTTAGGAGGCCAAGGCGGGCAGATCGTTTGAGCCCAGGAGACCAGCCTGGACAACATGGTGAAACCCCACATCTACTGAAAATACAAAAATTAGCCGGGCATGGTGGCACATGCCTGTAATCCCACCTACTTGGGAAGCTGAGGCAGGCGGGTTGTTTGAGCCCAGGATGCAGAGTTTACAGTGAGCCGAGATTACGCCACTGCACTCCAGCCTGGGTGACAGAGTGAGACCCTGTATCCAAAACAAAAAAAAAAAAGCCAGAAGAAAATCTCCTTCACAACTACTCAACTTTGCCACTGTAATGCAAATACAGGCGCAGACAGAATAGGTATGGCTGTGATGGCAGCAGCGGCCCATTTGGAGCGGCCTCTCCAAAGATGCCAGCTGTAGTGGGGGAGGTGTGGCCAAGGATGCACACTCTGTGGGGCCAGCAAGAGGCAGGAACAGGCAGGAGCCCCACCCCCTACTGAGTCAGCAGGGCAGGGTACCTGTGCACCTAGCTGCAGCTGCAGCTGCCTGGCCACAGCTCCAGACCCTGGCACCCCTGTGCTCTCCAGGCCTGGAAAGCCCCTGTACCCCCTGCCACCCCTACGCTCAGAAGTGCCTGCTCCTGCTCCCTGGCCTCCCCCTGCTCCTGGCACCTCCTCCGGTTGTGGCCGAGCCTGGGCACTGTCGCAACCCAGCTGGGGGTGTCCGTGCTCAGGGTGGTGCAGACACACCAGCCCCCTGCTGCCTCAGCCCCCTACAGACTTTGGGTGCCAATGAGCATGGGAAGAAGGCTGGGTGGGGGTGCTGAGGGTGGCTTGGCACAGGCCTACAGGTGCCCCACAGCACAAACAGCCTGGCCCACCATGGATGGCATGTTGATGGCAGAAGGCAGACAGGTTCCTGGGCAGAAGAGGGAGGATTCCCAGTGAAACTCCACCTTCAAGCCAGGGATAGCCTGAAGCCTGGTGACCGGCTGCCAGTTCCAGGTAGAGTACATGGCCCAGAGTGAGAACTTATGGTGCTTTTTCCACCCATGAACCGATCAGCATGAACTTCCTTCTCAGCCCATGAAAACCCCAGACTCAGCCAGACTCAGACAGACATTGGGACTACCAGCTGAGGGAAGGAGCTACCCACTTTGGGTATACTCAACTTCTCGGGACAACCTGCCTGTGGAAGGGAGCTACCCACCACAGGTCTCCTCTCTGCTGAGAGCTGGAGACTCACTGGGACAACCTGCCTGTGGAGAGGAGCTACCCACTTTGGGTCTCCTGGGAGCTATTCTGTCACTCAGTGAAGCTCCTCTCCGTCTTGCTCAATATACAGTTGTCCACATTCCTCATTCTTCCTGGATGCAGCACAAGAACTCAGGACCCACCAAATGCCAGGACTGAAAGAGCTATAACACAAACAGGGCTGAAACACACCCCCTGCTCGCCATGTTGCAAGAGACAAGAAGGAGAGAAGAGCTGCAGCCCATCAAGGAGCCCAGACCCAGACCTAGGGGCTTCCTGAGCCAGGGCTGTGATACCCTCCTTGGGGCTCTGGGGTTCCCAGCACCTCCAAGCTTCTGGATGCTACCACGTTCCCCAGTGCCCACAGTGGAGGCTGCTTGTGGTATGCCTCATCCAGCCACAGCCTCGCACAGCGCTGGCACTTGGAGCTGCCCACCCTGCCGCAGACGGCACACCTGACTGTGCGCAGTGGACAGACCCCATGCTCACTCACACACCCCATGCCACTATGTGCCTGGCTGGCCTTTGGCAGGCATAGGATCCAGGCTGATAACACAAGCCGAGTGCAGCCTGCTGAGCCGAGTGGGCAGAACGAGCCCAGCAGGCCAGAGCAAAACTCAGGCGAAGGCGCCAGCAGCCACAGAGGTTTCCAGCTGCAAAAGCAACACCCTAAGGATCCTGTGACAGCTATGTTCCAACAATATTTTATTTATAAAAGCAGGTGGTGGTCTGGATCTGGCCAGGAAAGCCAAAATTTATCAGCCCCCTGCACTAGATTGTTCTCATTAACATAGAGACAACACTAAAATATTTATCATCTTAAAAACAAATGAAAAACCTCCTTTGACCCCCATATCTCCTTCTAGCTCTCTCTTTTTCAGCTCTCCCCTTTGCAGCAGAACTCCTTTAGAGTTATTGATGTTCCCTGTCTCTACTTCTTTATCTCCTCCTCAATCCACTGCACCAGGCTTTTGTCCCACACAGCACTGAAAATTATCCTTAAGGAAGTTACACCTTCTGATGCTAAAATAATGGTAATCCTCTGTCCTCATCATACTGACCCTCTCAGCAGCCCTGGATATTGTTATTCTCTCCTTCTTAAAGTCCCTGAAAATTGGGGGCTTGCTTTTAAATACTGCAGCTAGCACTAGCACAGCCAATTAGCTCCCTCTCCTCAATCCTACATTTCACCTTCCCAAAGAGAGGCTGTCTCTGTCCACCCTCTCAAAAACAGCCCACCCCACCTCATAAAACTCTCCATTCTCTTAATATGCTTCACTGTTCTCCACGGCACTTCTAACTAGTGGAAGGTATGTTTGTTTAAGTTGATTTCCTTGTTTATTGTCTAGTATATACCTCCATCCAATCATAAGCTCCATCTAATGCCAGGACGTTGTTTGTTTTGCCCACCTCAGTGAATATAACTAGTTGTGAAGTGACTCAATGAATGAATGAATGAATGACAACTCCTTTGCAGGCAGAAAAATGCCAACCTGATTCTGTTCTGAAGTTCCATGATTCTATGATATAAATAAACTATAAGACCTCAAGAGACAGAAAAGTAAAAAGGAATTTTCTTGTGGGCAACTAAGGAAATACTTTGGGAGAAAATGTTAGGTAGCATTCCATTAACAATGATGATCTCTAGATTTCTATTTAAATACAGAAGGAAGGAACTGTGAATTAGTGTTGATTGTAGCCCCCAAAATACCCAGGCAGTTCTGACCAAAGACCAACTAACTGCTAGCTTCCAACATAAGCATGCACTGAGTGACTCAAGCCTGGGCACCATGTGACCAAAGAGACATCACCATGGAGAGCTCTCTGCTAACCCCTCCTTGAGAAAAGCTATCACTGAACCCATGAAAGCCAGAGAAGAATAACTATAATAAGCAAGCCCCCAGCCTATAGGGCTGCTATGAAAATATGGATTCAAAAGTTTAAGTTGTCCCTGACAGCAGAGATGAACAGTCTCAGTGGACCCAACTGAGCCTCATAAGATATGGATAGGCAATGAAATGTTTACTGAATTATCATGAAACAAGGGGAAACCTCTATGATGGGAAGCAAGATAATGGAAGAAAATAAGCAGAAATATTTACCACCTAGAGTTTTTTACATCCTGAAAATATAAATAACATCAAAACAAGCTTAGATCAATTACCTTTGATCTTCCTTATGAATAAGTAAAAAAAAATAGAATACCTGGGACAAAACTCCTAAGAATTTAGGTTGGTGTTTTTCTACAATCCTATCAGAAAAACAATACTGGAGTGGATGGAGATAATTAACACTTATTTCATCAGTGCTTATGTAAAGACCTGGGTTTGTTTCTGCAGGAGATACAGTGACGAGTTATATCATAATTAACATAAAAAGGAGGGATATCAGCCCTATCAGTGTTGTTTAAGTCATAAGCCAGAACAGGGCTCAAAATCTATGACAGTGGGAGAAAGAAGAGGCTGAACTGAACAAGGATATAGACTCAAACTACGAATCAAATAGTTCCAAGAGCAACGCAGTAGTGAAAAGCAGAAAGAGGTGGGGGTCAGAATCTCATGATGATGGCAGGCGGAAACAGGAGAATCATGCTTTTGTTTTTATCCACATGACACTGAGAACGACTGTGTTGAGAAATTGGACTGTTCTTATAAGTGTGACACAATGAAACTTAAAACACTTTAAGTTCTTTGTGATATTCATTTGGATTTTTAAAAGAAAGGGACTCTGCTGAGTAGTACAAAGCACCATGAATAAACCAGGAGATGTGAACCCAAAATTTGATCTTGCTTCACATTGATTGTGGGGCTTAGGACACACAAATTACTGCTGGGGCCTCATTTTCCTAATGTATAAAATGAAGACAATGGCACAGTATACTAACAATATCTTTGTACTCTGTATTTGTGATGCTTTGATATCCTGGGGTTTTACTAATCTAGAAGGAATGCCTATCCCGGGCCCAGCTAATTCCTAGAGACAGCAAAGAACTAGCCTTCGGGCATATCTTTCCAATGCAAACTAACCAATCCTTAGCTCATACCCACAACCACCTCCGTTACTGAGCTCTTAACACTGCAGGCCAATATTCCCCTGCCCTGATCACTCCAGAGCCAGGTACCAGACACCCAGGGACAGCCCTTACACTCCAGAGCCCATTGAAATTATTCAAACTAGCCAATCCTAAGCCTGCTTACCCTGTCTTGCCTGTTCCTTCCCATGAAAACCACAGTAAAAGTTCTTGTCCACATTTTCCTCTGCCCCCTGACTGGCCCTGGTTCTTCCTCACATGGCACCCAGTGGCATGGTATGCCCTTCCTCTTGGATCTTTTAGTAACGAACTATTTTTTCAATGGCAATTGTCTCCTGATCTACTGGCCTCACCATACCTGAATAATAAAATTCACATTTTAAACGACCCAGATGATCTCCAAAGTTCCATCTAGCTCTAAAATTCCAATATTTCTGTGTTCACATGAATAAAGACCAAAAAGTTCTATTCCTTTAAAGCAAGAATCAGCAAACATTTTCTGAAAAGTGTCCAGAAGTAAGTATTTTAGGCTTTGCCAGACACAGAATCTCTGTCTCACATTCATCTCTTTAAGTTTTACAACCCTTTAAAAATGTAAACACCACTCCTACCTCACAGGCCTCACACAAAAACAGGCTGCAAGCCAGTTAGCCATATGGGTCACAGTTTGCCAGTCTCTGCTTTAGATGACAAGGGAAAGTTTACAGACCTTAGGAAGTCTTGGAAAACATAAAAAGCTTTACTGAATCCATAGTCAGATTTAAAACCACTCTGCAATGCACAATGGGAATCACTATTTATAAATGTATGCAATAAACCTAAGTTGTTTCCTTGTAAATCTCACACCAAAAAAGCCATTCACTTCTGACCCAGAAATAACTGTTAAGAATTCATGTGACCGTAAACTCACATCTATGTTAAAAGAAAACAACGAGAAAATATCACTGTGTTGAAATAACTATCCTGGCTGGAGTCCAACAGACACAAACTCAACAGGTTCACAAATCAAGAAATCCATTGCAAAGATAACATGTATCTATTGCAAGGACAACATGTATCTATTCTAAATATACTTATAAATTGTGGATTTCTCTAGAACCAGACAAGACAACAAAAAACAAACACATCCAACTATCAACATTTCCTTTAGAATGAGAGGTGCTATTTTACTAACACCTTTCAAAGATAGTTAACAACCATTAGCAGTTGAATCAAGAAAAAGGATTTCCACAGGAAAAACAAAATGCTAAATTTTTCAACAGTAAAATAAAATGTTATGCTCAAAACTGTTAAATGATAATCTCAGTGAAAGAATACAAAATACTTTAGCAAAGCCAACAATTAGGACAATTTTAATTTAACTTCAAAATCCTTAAGTAATTTTTAAACACCAATAATACATGCTGGGTAAGTATATAGCATTATAATCCTAAAATCAAGGCAGAGAGAAAGGGAGTCTTTAAAAAGCTTTCGATTCAAGAGACTGATAAAAGAAGCAAAAACTCAAAATTTGCTCACTGTTTTAAATATTTTATGCTTGCGTTATCCCGTGAAATTCCACCTTGACAAAAACTATGAATGTGCACCCAATTTGAACAAGTGGCTGAGAGCACTGGAACACAAGCTACAGTTACAAAAAGAAGAAAGGGCAAGTTAAAAACAGATGCTCAAGAGCTCAGTCCCCACTAGAGAAACCTTGTATTTTATTCTGCAGAGTAACAGTGAAGAATAATGAGAAACCATGTATGAGTGATCCTAAAACAAAAACAGTCTTACAGACTCAGAGACTGACTTGCTTCTCACTGTGAGGCTTTTCAATATACACAGGCAGCTTGAGAAGCATCAAATTATTTCTGAAGAAATCAGTTCATTCTAATAAAGTTGGTGGGACTCAGTGGCTCACACCTGTAATCCCAGCACTTTGGGAGGCTGAGGTGGGAGGACTGCTTGAGCCCAGGAGTTTGAGACCAGCCTGGGCAACATAGTAAGATGCCATCTCTACAAAAAAAAAAATCGTTTAAATTATCTAGGTGTACATGGAATGCTACGCAGCCATAACAAGGATGAGTTCATGTCCTTTGCAGGGACATAGATGAAGCTGGAAACCATCATTCTCAGCAAACTATCGCAAGGACAAAAAACCAAACACCGCACGTTCTCACTCATAGGTGGGAATTGAACAATGAGAACACATGGACACAGGAAGGGGAACATCACACACCGGGGACTGTTGTGGGGTGGGGGGAGGGGGGAGGGATAGCATTAGGAGATATACCTAATGCTAAATGACGAGTTAATGGGTGCAGCACACCAACATGGCACATGTATACATATGTAACAAATCTGTACGTTGTGCACATGTACACTACAACTTAAAGTATAATAAAAATAAATTAATAAATTAATTTAAAAAATTATCTAGGTGTAGCAGCATGCATCTGTGGTCCCAGCTACTCAGGAGGCTAAGGCAGAAGGATTGCTTGGGGCTTGGAGTTCAAGGCTGCAGTAAGTGGTGATCACAACAGTGCTCTATAGCCTGGGCAACATTTGAATGAATTTATTACATAGCTACATAGTTATTTCACCTATTGAGATTTCATCAAAGGAAATATTTTAGCTGTATAAATTCAGCTAATTGAGGGTAAAAAACTTAAATGGCTTATTTTAACAACAGTTTAACAAATATCTCAAACATCTCTGATGATTTGGGCTTTTACTTTTACCAGACTACAAAATTTGAATTGAAATATAAAAGAATATGGCAAAGCCTAACTTTATTAAGGCATATAATAAATTGAAAGGCAAGCTGATGTGGAAGCTATCTTGTGACTGGGGTATCCCTTAATGGCTTGCACAACCGCTTTCCAAAGTCAATTCAAAAACACTGTCCCACCCATGCAGTTTTTTTCTGCTATTGAAAAACTTTTCCCCCCAGTTTTTTGTAGGGTGCTGGAGCTGTGGTTTGAATCAATATCACTAGACATTTCTACCTTCTGTCAATGGGATTACCTCCTCTAGGAATATTCATATTAATATTTCTTCCTCTAAGAATAATGAAAGGATGAAGAAAGGGAAGGGGCGGGGGGAAAGAAGGAACACTTATACAACATTTTCTATGGACTAGGGGGTTCACAGAAATATTAATATTTCTTTTATTATTCTTATTTTCCAGGGGGAGGGAATTTAGGTACAGATAAATGAAGTAACTTGGCCAAAATCATACAGCTACTTGGGTTAAATTCCTTTAGATGCTACCATCATCAAAAGACATGGCATTAAAAAATCATTACATGTATTAAAACCATTACATTGTTTAATAAAAGTCTATTTATAAATCTATCTCCTCCATTAAATACTAAGCATCCTTAGAGTAAGAACTTTCTTATCGTTGATTTTTGTCATCATTCAGTAGTTGCTGATTAAGATGTTTGATAAATTAATGAAAGAATGAACAAATGAACCAAAAACTAATTAGAGAAGTCAACTGAAGACAGGTGACTGTATGGCCAGAAGTACTTTTCACTCAACACTATACCATTAATTCACTGTGAACTTCATTTAAGAGATCCCTAAAATTTCACTGTGGTGAACAGCACTTTTATGAATCTTGTCATAAAACAAATAGCTCTAACAAGCAAACTAAAATAACAACAATTCTTAGATACAGAACATAAACAATTTTTTTTTTGCAATACAGGAAAACAGCTAAATTTTGCTCCAAAAGAACTCAAAGAAGTTAAAATGTAATTTGTTTGCTGAGGAAGATTTGCTGAAAGCTAATTATCTCTTAATGGAAACAAGATACTGGAGTGTTGCTTTCTCTGAGAGGAATGGTTTTGGTGCAACCTACTGTAAAATTAAGGAGAGAGAAAAGGGCAGTGCTCAGGGGAGTTAACACTTCCCTCCCAATGAAACTGCACCAACATGGCAAACAATTTACCTTTCTGCTATACACTCAATAATAAACTAGATCCACCAGGGCAGTACTGTTTTTTTAAAAAAAAATCCTGGTCATGTACAATGCAGATTTGATTATGCTCGTCCCTCACTTGAAAGGGAACAATAAATACCCAATGGTAATATGACTAAGTTTTGAGGGCTTCCAGCAACTAAGAATTCTATAAAATAAGAATAAACACATAAAAATCATAATGCTCCACTTAACATAGGATGGTTTAATGTTCTAATAGTTATTACATGGTACTCTAAACTCATAATATATACAAACAAAATTAAAACGCATATCCTTCAAACAACATGATGCTGTTGGATACAATTAATAAGCAAGTTAAGTTTGTAACAAATGGTTCATGGTTATTTTTACATATTTGGAAATCTATCTGCACAAACAATTAAGGCACTCTACTCTTGATGTACATCTATAGTTGACCATTTTGCCTCAAAACCACTGATACCCTGTAATCCCAGCACTTTAAGAGGCCGAGGTGGGTGGACCATGAGGTTAGGAGTTCAAGACCAGCCTGGCCAAGATGGTGAAACCCCATCTCTACTAAAAATACAAAAATTACCAGGTGTGGTGGCAGACGCCTGTAATCCCAGCTACTCAGGAGGCAGAGGCAGAGAATTACTTGAACCCAGGAAGTGAAGGTTACAGTGAGCTGAGATCACACCACTGCACTGCAGCCTAGGTGACAAAGCGAGACTCCATCTCATTAAAAAAAAAAAAAAAAACACACACCACTGATACCAAATAACTGGGGATGATCTCTAAAGTTAATGAGTTGCCATTTTAGGCACTTGCCAAAATCAGGGGTGACATTCCCCAGCATTAGGCCTAATTTTCTTTTGGTTACAGTAAGCAAATAAACAGACCACTTACAAAAATTGACCATATATTAGGCCAAAGCAAATAATAAGACAGAAATAGAACAAAAAATATTACCTGATCACAATGCAATGAAACTAGAAATTAATATCAAAGACTTAATCGTCACATAAGGGAATGGCAAAGATCACATATACACTAATTTGATAAAGGTTTTGAATTAATAGGCACTTGTACACAGATGGTGGACAGAAAACTGGCACAACTTAGATTGGGGAAAATTTGGCAACATCTCTCAAAATTACAAATACTTACACCAGTGGTTCTCAAACTTGTTTGCACATTTAACAGATGGGGAGCGTCTAATTACTGATGCCAGTGTCTAGCCCTAGAGATTGTGATTTAATTGGCCTAGGGTATGGCCTGGACTTCAAATTTTTAAAAAGCTCCCCAAGTGATACTAATGTACAGCCAAGTTTGGAAATCGCTTGCTTAAATATCTTTTGATAAGCAATTCCACGTCTCATTTATGGTGCACATATATTCACACATATGATCAATGTCCTATTTCATTAACTGTAGCTTTGTTTTGTAACACCAAAAGATTAGGAAAGAACAAATATTCACCTAAAGGGGACTTGTTAAATCAATATGTAATATTGATAAAATGCAACGCTATGTATCTGTTTAAAGGAGTGGCACAGATAGTATATGAATTACATTTCAATAAAACTGTTAATTTTTAAAAGAGGTCCAGAAATGGTATAGACAGCATGCTACTGTGTATGTGAAAAACAGTACACACACACACACACACACACACACACACATATATACTGGCAGCAGTGGTTCTCTGTGGAGGAATAATTGCTTTTCTCTGTATACCCTTCAAATACTGAAGTTCTGAACATGTTATGTATTAACTCTGAAAAATAAATTTTTAAAATTAAAATGAAATATAAAACCAATGTAGTCATATTCCCCAATCAAACAGAATTTTTATGAGGTAACATTCAAAGCGGCACAAGGGAACTTTTTGGAATGATAGAAACCCTCTTTATTTTGATTGTGATAGTAGTTTACATAATTGTGTACCATTTTCAAAACTCATAGAACTGTATACCTCAAATGAGTGATTTTAATCCATGTAAATTATATCTCAATAAACCTGTTTATTTATTTATTTAAAGCTTACATGACACCCGAGGCCTCTTGAACAATGCTGATAGAAATGTAAATTGGTACAACCCACCTGGAAAACTCCTTTGTGGTACAGTGTATCTGTTGGATCTGGTTTACCAAAAGCCTTCGGACTCAGCATTTTCACCTCTGCATAGGAATATTCATGGCTGCACTATTCATGACAGCAAAAATACGGAACCCAGACTTTGTTAAAAGTAAAATGGATTGGGCAACTGTGGTGTATTTGTGCAATGGAAAGCCAAGAGAAGAGGATTTGGTTTGAAAAGTAGCATTGCCCAGACCAACGAACTATTGGCAAAGGGCATAAGCAGAAAAAGATACACACACATTCCTTGACCATATGAAGTGGTAGTCATTCTTACTTGTAAGAGAAATACATGTTAAAATTACTCTGAAATAACTCATTTCAACTGCCACAATGGCAACATTGCAAAGTTTAATGAGTTTTGATGGCAAGACTTGCAGAGAAGTAAGCATCCTCAGATATGTCCTTTGGAGGCATAAAATAGTAAACCCAAGGGAAAGAAATTTGGCCATATTAAAAAAAAAAAAAGTTCAGTGTATTTCTCCTTTGATACATCAATACATTTATAGGAATTATCCTATAAGATATACATTCATATGTACAAAATAACACATTTATGAGAGTATTCATTATTTGCAATTACACAAGATTAGAAACAAGTCTATCAATTAGACACTAGAAAAGTTATAATACATCCATGCAATGGAAGATCTTACCACTGTAAAACCCAATGTAGAAGCTCTCTATGTATTGATACAGAAGCAAATCTAGAGGACAGTTTAGTGAAAAAAAAATCAAAGGGCAGAAAAACATATGTAACATGCTGGTTGTGTATAAAAGAAACAAAAGAGGCTGGGCAAGGTGGCTCACGCCTGTAATACCACCACTTTGGGAGGGCAAGGTGGGCGTATCACCTGAGGTCGGGAGTTCGAGACCAGCCTGACCAACATGGAGAAACCCTGTCTCTACTAAAAAATACAAAAACAAATTAGTGGGGTGTGGTGACTCATGCCTGTAATCCCAGCTACTCGGGAGGCTGAGGCAGGAGAATAGCTTGAACCCAGGAAGCGGAGGTTGTGATGAGCCGAGATTGTGCCATTGCACACCAGCCTGTGGCAACAAGAGTGAAACTCCGTCTCAAAAAAAAAAGAAGAGAGAAAAGAAAAAATATTTATTCACATTAGCTTGCATTTGGATACATAATGAATAAAAATACTTAACCATAGGGGAAGATGAGGAAAGAACAGAATAAACAGAGAAAGAAATGAGACTTCTCAGTATCTACCTTTTTAAAAATACTGTTCTTTTTTCTCCCACTAAAAATCAATTACTCATTCCAAAATGTTAGACTTAAAATGCATTCTTAAAAATCCATTTAGGGAAATAAAACAAATTCAAAAGTCTAATTACTTTTTCCTTCTTCATCCCTTCCTTAAGGTATGTAAAAATGGACTTTGCAAGTTGCACACATGTTGCTAGGACCTCCCTTTGAAGTAAGGGGGACAATAATTGGTCTTTAATGCATTGCTCTTGATCCCCTTGACCTTTGGAGCCTCAGCCATAACTGACATGAGGCAAGACTTATTTTAACGCTGTTTTTCAAGAAAAGCCAAACAGAATCCAGAAAGAGACTGCAAATAAGACACAGGTATCCAGAAAGAGCTCACAAATAAGACAAAGGTAGCATTTAATGGGGAGAGGGGTGGTAAATAAGTAATTTCAGTCAACAAAATGATTTAGATATCTTTGTATATCAATATTCAAACTGTATCTTGCCTTTTTAAACTGTTAGTGTTCTATATTATGGCTATATCATAGTTTATGTTTTACTTATATAAAATTGTATAAATTTTATACAATTTTATCATTTTTAAAATTATTTGCCTTAGTAGAATTTTATTTGTGTATATGTGAGTTTTTCTCTAGAACAAATCCTTCGAAGTAGAATTGAAGGTTGAAGGCTGTGTACCTTTACACTTTAATTAAATACAGTGAACAAATATTCAAAGAGATTCACTGTTATCAGTAGTTAGGTGAATGCAAATAAAATGAGATCCCATTTTCATTCATTAGTTTGGCAAAGATATTGGCAAGAGTATGAATAAATATGATATGAAAAGATCTCCAAATCATTTTGATAAGTGAAAAAGCAAACTTCATAGATACAGAATGATACTATCTAGGTTTTTTTTTAGTCAATCACCACGAAGTGAATTTATTTCAGTATTTATGTGTGTGTGTGCGTGCCCACATGTACACAGGTATATACACATATGTGTGTGTATACTCGTATACATACACACATATATATACATACAGATAGGCAGGCAGATAGACAGATAGATAGATAGATGATAGATAGATAGATAGATAAATAGATAGATAAATAGATAGATAATAGACAGACAGACAGAATTTAAGTAGCCAGAAGAAATTCAGGAGGACATACACCAAAATAATAACAATTACTACCCCTAGGGGAGAAACCTGTGAGGCAGAGGGTGTGGGGGATGGAGAAGCCAAGGAGATCTCTCGATTTTATTGTTAGAATTTAAGGCAAAAACAGTATATTCAAATATTACTTGTTCAATCAAAACAAAAAAATACAAAAACTATTCCACTAAATTCTGCTTGTAAACTTTTTTAAAAACTAGAGTAAACGGACTTCTAAACCTAGTCTCTAATCACTTTTAAGATAAAAAAGATTCTATAGAGGCCAAATAACTGTTTCTACTTCTCTAGGGTTTTTCTCTTCAATATGAGGAAATTAAGCTGAATAGAGTTGGCAAGAAGGAAAAGGAGTCTAGAAAACGTGACATGTGGAATGAGCCAAAGTTACATTTAAAAAAGTAATTGCAATCTGTTCAATCTAATGAAAGGATAAAATTAGGATACAGTATTCGCACATGATGTCAAAAGTCCAGGAAATATATAACTATCTGAATTTTTATGCAACTTCTAATACAGATTCACTCTTTAGAATTAAATTTCTTCTTCAGGAATGGAGAACAATCCCTTCTGAGTGAGGAATTTGGAAGGCTCATTGCTCAGGCTCTCTAAAAGGCTATAGAAACACTGAAGCAAACACTTTGCTTCCAATTGGCAAAGATAAAAAGGGTATTAACTTAGGGCTCCCCGGATTCTTTTGCAACATGGCTCAGAATAGATGGTAGTATTTGCATGGCATCCTTTGGAAATGGATGAGGGAAGGTAATAGGCTCGAGAACTACTACAGCCCCAGCACTGTATAACCCAAAAACCGTGAGCAACTTGTCACCAGTGACTCAGTCACGGCAAATCTATGTGCCCTGACACACCCACTGGGATGAGTGTTTTGGATATGAGTACTTTTTAAAAACAGCCTTTCTTGTTTGCTAGTAACAACAGTCACAGTGGCTCATAATAATGCAATACTTTCTGTGACTGGACAGCAGACCAGAGGAAATCAAGATGGTTGGGGCTATGTGATTTAGTTATTTGCTAAAGACCAACTGGTAGGTCTGGAGATGCACTGCACCTACAGATGGTATTCAAACCCCAAAAGGTCCTCAGATACCACCTGTACAAGAAAAGTAGTTTTCTTGTTTGAAAGCAAAAAGAACCTCTTTCTTTCTCCTTTCTTCCCCTTCTGTGGACCTCTCAGACAAACTAATCTTTACAAAACTAAAAACATCCCAGCAACTAGTTCTAAAGAAATTTGGCATCATCATATTCAGTACCTTCAATAAAGATAAAAGCTCTCTACCACTTAAAAATAAAAAATAAAAAAAAAAAGTATGTCGGCCGGGCGGGGTGGCTCATGACTGTAATCCCAGCACTTTGGGAGGCCGAGGTGGGTGGATAACCTGAGGTCAGGAGTTCGAGACCAGCCTGGCCAACATGGTGAAACCCCATCTCTACTAAAAATACAAAAATTAGCTGGGCATGGCGGCGGGCACCTGTAATCCCAGCTACTCGGGAGGCTGAGGCAGAAGAATCGCTTGAACCCAGGAGGTGGAGGTTGCAGTGAGCCAAGATCACACCATTGCACTACAGCCTGGGTGACAGAGTAAGACTCCATCTCAAAAAAAAAAAGAAAAGTATGTCAACTACATAAAATGGTAGCAAATAACAGTTGATAAATACTATTGAGATTTAATAAACTGCTCAGTACAAAATGAGGCACCAATTTTTAAAGTACATATATTGTTTCATCTCTTAAAAGAAGTTATCATTTTAAAGCAGCATGCATTCCACAGTATGCTGACTCTAATAAGAATTAAAAATATGAGAACGAGAGTCAAAACAGCATAAATGACAGATATTACAATCCATGAAACTTAAAAAAATGACGATTTTGACAACTCAAACATTAGTCTTTTGGAATCTCATCTTTAATAACATTTTCACAACACATAAAATTCATTTTATAGGTGAGACACAAGAAAAAGAAATTTGAACTTCCAGTACCTTGTGAAAGTTGGGTTGTGTTCAGTCATCGCGACTAGCAGTTTCAGAGCATATGCTGGTACTGGGTCAGGTTCTAAAAGAATGTGCTCATACCTGAAATGGTAAAGACATTTAAAAAATACTCAGTAGGAAAAATTATGTCCAACCTTGAATTCTATATCCAGCCAAACTATCAATTTAGCTTAAGACAGAAAGATATTTTACACACTAATAAAGATTTAAGTAATTTACCTCTCATGTGCCCCTTCTCAGAAAGTTACTGGCAAATATGCTCTATTGAAATAAGAGAATAAACCAAATATAGAAAGACAAAAGGAAAAACAACTCAGTAGTTGTCCTCACTTAAATGCTACTCTCAACAATAGAAATAATATACCATAAGGTACAAGCATCTGAAAAATCTGAAAAACATACAGACTCTGAAATAAATTTATGAGTTACAGGACCTACACAGGTTACTTAACCTCATGAAGTCTGAAACAACTTCACTTTCCAACGCTGATAATGATACTCACTTACTTCATAAAATATTGCTGTTGGGAAGATTCAGTGAGATAATCCATGTAAAACAACTAGTATTGAGCTAGGCATATAGTAAGAGATCAATAAACATTAGGCATCTGTGTTGAAGGTCTCCAAGAACACCCTCACATTCAGAGACTCGCTAGAGAATTCACAGGACTCAGCATGGCTAAGATGTAGCACAGCAACATAGTAAAGCCACCTCTGAATCATATGGGAAAGGGTGCACGCGGAGGACTAGAGGATGTCATGTGCCGGTTTCCTTATGTCCTCTGTCTTCCATGAGGGGTCACACGCAGCACACTCTTCCCCCAGCAATCAAAATGCAGCACGTGTGTGTGATGTTTCTGCCCAAGGAAGTCTATGAGTACTCAATGGCCAAAGTTTTTATGAGGGGATGGTCATGTAGGCAACCTCTATCTAAAATGTATCAAAATTCCAGATTCCCGGAAGGAAAGCAGCTGTGTTCAGCATAAACCAGACTGTCTGCTCAAACAGTTGAGGCACAGTGGACTACCCTTATCAGCTGTTAACTGGGTACATTGCACTCTGACAGCCAAGTTCCTAGATGTCTAGCCAATTACAATATTTTGTTTACAAAATTTTTGTAAACAAAAAATTTTATGGATAGCAGTATCAGGCCTGCTATGTTAACTCTTTTCTGCACAGCATTCTTATTATTAATACTTGAAAATCCTAAATTAAATTTATTACCAAAGAGAATAAAACTCAAAATGTTTTCATCACAATTTCCACAACAAAATTTTCCCAAGATTGTTTTCCCATGTGATTTGCTAGGCAGAGGCTGGTTTATGTACTATGTCTTACCTATTTGAGGTTTGCTCTCCAGTATGCAGCACTGTGTAGATGCTCAATAAACAAGCATCAAATGAATAAATGAACAAACTAACCAATTTTATTATTTACTTCTCTGGAATAGCCAACAACTAAAAAGGAAGAAAAATATCTCTAAAATTCCTAACTGGATATTTTAAAAATCTATGATATAAAACAGATGCCTTTCATCTAGAGAATAGGGCCCCATGCTTACTCAGAGCTTATTTACTCTCATTTTGGAAATCATTGTATAACAAGCCTAATTATATAGCCTGTAAGCCCACAACCATTAAAAAGGAGCTAAGTAAAGAAAAGAGACGGACTATTACAGGAAGGCAACCAATGAATTGTAAGAAGTAGGACTTGAAAGCATAAGAAAAACAAAAAAAAGCAGTCCCAAGAACCCCAAGCAAAGAATAGTCTGTGGAGCATTTAATACAGAGTAAGAAATTGCTCATACTCAAATGGGACCTGAGAGCCCACTACACACCATAATGTTCAAAACTGGGGTAATGAGTCAAGACAATGTTAAGTGGAATACAGTGTTCCGTTTAAGAAGTCAGCAAATGTCACATTTTAGAAAATTTGCTTAAATTTTAAAATTATAGTAGTTAAAAGATTTGCCCATGTATAAAACATACAGTATAATCAAGCGTAATTTCAAGAATGAAAAAAATCAATCTTAGGAAATGAGTTAATATATTTTATCATATAAATAAAACAAATATCAAGCAAAAATCTTTAGGGATAATAAAAATGTCTGATAAAATCTAACGTCTACTTAAAATTTTGTTTAAAAAAAGACACAACTTAGCATACTGGAGAGAGATCATTAGTTCCTTTCTCCATGAATTCTTATGAAATAAAAGGTTCTTGCCATCTTGAGTAAAGAGTATGTAAGAATATTCTCAAAGTGTAATGATTTGCTAGAAGGACTCACAAAACTCAGAAAACTTGTTATACTCCCAACTATGGTTTATTACAGTGAAAGGATGCAGATTAAAATCAGCAAAGAGAAGAGACGCATAGGGCAGAGACAAGGAAAGACCAGGACAAGCTTCCAGCTGTCATCTCCCAGTGGAGTTGTACAGTGTTTACTCCTCCCAGTAGCAATGTGTGGCAACACTGGTGAAGTACTTACTACCAACCAGAGAAGCTCACCTGAGCCTTGGTGTCCAGGGTTTTTATTGGAGGTTGGTCATGTAGGCATGGACCACTTGTGGAACTGACCTTAGTTTCCCAGTCTCTAGCTCCTCCAGAGGTCAAGCTGATGTGTTGTAGCCCAAGGCCCCCATCATAACTCACAATGTTACTACCATAAATTATCAGGCATGGCTCAAGGTCTCATGTATTCGAAGGCACTCTTACCAGGGAGGATATTCCAACTGCTAGGAAGTTATCTCCCAGGTGGCAGTCAAGGACCAGTTTCTTTAGAATGTGCAAAGTCTGAACACCCTACACATGATGAGTTAACCCTTTATAGCATACATCCCTAAGAAGGAAACTGAGAGGCACTGTCATTAAAGTCAGAAATAAAATAAGAATCCTCTTCCACTGCTTACCAGTATTTGGAAATTGTCTGGCCAGACAGAATCAAATTGAAGTGATGGTGAGAAACTTCTGATGAGTCCTTCGTGTACCCTGGATAACCAGCTCTCCTTGTTCCCACTCCAAGACATACTTGAATTACAGAAGGACGGACCCACAAGCCTATGAATTTTTATAAAGCTTCCCAAGTGACTGTCTTATTCACATGCTTGTGTGGAAATCACAAGAGGAAATATGGACAACTACTACTTAGAAATATAACAGAAAAAAACATTCTCAATAGGGCTAGAAAATATATCTTAAAATAGACTTGAAAGATACAGAATCTAAATTTAAAAAGAAAACATTGGCCAGGGATAGTGGCTCACACCTGTAATCCCAGCACTTTGGGAGGCCAAGGTGGGAGAATTACATGAGTCCAGGAGTTGAGACCAGCCTGGACAACATCGTGAGACCCTGTCTATAAAAAAAGAAAAAAAAATTATTTTTAAATAATTGGGTGCAAGGGCACAAACCTATAGTACTAGCTATTCAGGAGGCTGAGGTGGGAGGATTGCTTGAGCCCAGGCATTTAAGGCTGCAGTGAGCTACGATGGCACCAGTACACTTCAGCCTAGGTGACAGAGCAAGACTCTGTCTCTAAAAAAAAAAAAGAAAAACACACACACAAAAAAAACACTGCTGAAACATTACTGACTGAAATCAAAGTGTCTTGAGGTCGTTTGAAGTTATCTAACCTTGAAACAGGAGGGAAGAATAAAGCTTATACTAGCTTGTGCATAAGAATTTTCATAAAGAATATCGTTCTGTTTTCCTCCTGTTGGAAAAAATGAAGGGCAAAATTCATAATGGGCATGTTTAGAATATAGATATTGAATATATTTTAGTTTAATCAAATGATAGGTTTATAATGGTCAGCAAGATCTAGCCAAAAGTAGGCTGTGATTTATTAAGCTCGTCTTTGAAAGAGCAGCTAGTAATTGAGTCCTGCACTCCTTTGAATGCAACTTAGCAGAAAAAAATATATAGTGATGAGCCCTGACTCTTGAAATGGCCTCAGGGAAGACTAACCAGTGAAGAGCTGGCCCATTCTGATGGACTAGGGGCTGGAGAGGAGCACTCCTAGTGCCCTGAGGCTGGCCAGAGACTAAGATCACTGTTGACATAACAGTACCCTGTCCAGACAGTATCCCTGAACCTCACACTTCTTCCTCTAGGATCTTCTCTAACCAAGATGTCTTTGCTAGGGGCCAAAGCAGCAGAGATCCAGGCAGGAAAGACCATTCACACTAAATTCAGATCCATTCCAAAGAAGAGAAAATCCCTTTAAAAAATCACATATTCGGGACCTAAGGCAAGAATTTGAAGAGACAGTCCCCAACTCTTAATTCTTCATTACCAATCCTATAATTAATAAATCCCTATCTTGTCAAGTGCCTGGTATAGACAGTGCCCAATTAGGTTATCTGGGAGAAAACTGAAACTCGCTATCTAAATAACTCTGGATAATCATGAGAAAATATTCTGAGGTATGTGATGAAACAATTGGTCAAGTGAAGGAAAGTGTCTCCAATTTTGTTGAGAGGAGGGAGAAGGAACTGTATAATAAAGAAGTCCATTCTGCAGGGATTAAGTCAGAGACTCAAATTTTCATCTCAACAGAGTGTGCTCTGAGAATTTGAAGGAGTGATTCCAGAATAATCAGCAAACTTTAGGGTTTGAGGAATCTTCCTACAATGAGGAAGATTCTGCTAAATGAAAGGCTAGACTACATTATAAAACCACAATAATTATTACATATAAAGAATACACGTATACAGTCATGTGCCACATAATGACATTTTTGGTCAACAACAGATGGCATATACAATAGTGATCATATAAAAATTTTTTTCTGTACCTTTTCTGTGTTTGGATACATAAAATCTTACCATTGTGTTACAGTTGCCTGCAGTATTCAGTGCAGTAACATGCTGCATAGGTTTGCAGCCTGGGAGCAACAGGCTATACCATACAGCCTAGGTGTGTAGTAAGCTGTGCCACCTAGGTTTGTATAAGGTAAACTCTATGATGTTTGCACAATGATAAAACTGCCTAATGATGCATTTCTCAGAAGGTACTCCCACATGGCACATGACTATAAATCAAAAGAAAAGAAAGGTAACACCTAGAACTGGACAGGAAAGAGTAAATTTAGAAAGGGAGTTAGGCTGGTTAGACCATATCTCAAGAAAATGTATCTCTAATAAACTAAAATTTTAAGGAAAAAATTTTGACTTTATTAGAATACCAAAAATGAGTAAATTGTTGGGTAAGAAGGCCTCTTTAGCATAACAAATGTAAAATGAATGAGAAAAATACTTATACTCTTAAAGTTTTTAAGTTAAATATTTCTCAATGGCAAAACCACCATAAACAAACCAAATGAGGAAAAGATAACTTGCAGAATGTGGGTAAAACAAAAAAGTTAATATTCTTACTATATAAAGAGCTTTTGCAAATCAATAAACAAACCACAGAAAAATGGACAAAATTCACAGAGAAGGAAATAAATGGCCAAGAAGCATCGGGAAGAAATGGTCTACTTCATCAACATCTGGAGGAATGCAAATTAGAGCTAAGAAGGGTACAATAAAATGGGCAGTTTCATAAAGGGAAGCTGGTAATATAAACTGTTCTTCCTGTGTAAAAATATTGGCAGAATGTATTAAATACCTTTAAAATGCATATAATTTTAAGGGTCGGGGGGAGAGACAGGGTCTCCCTTTGTTGCCCAGGCTGGAGTGCAGTGGCAAGATCGTAGCTCACTGCAGCCTCAACCTTCCAGGCTCAAAGGATCCCCCAACCTCAGCCCAGGTCCCTCCCCACTCCCACCCCAAAGTAGCTGAGACCATAGGCTCATGCAAACTAATTGTTTTATTTCTTGTAGAGACAAGGTCTCACTATGTTGCCCAGGCTGGTCTCAAACTGCTAGGCTCTAGGGATCCTCCCGCCTTGGCCTCCCAACCTGCTGAGACTACAGGAGTGAGCCACTGTGCCTGGCCAAAATGTATATGAATTTTAACACAGAAATTCTATCCCTAGAGATTCTACAAAAGGAAATAAGGATATGTCCAAGGATGCAGCCATAAAAAATGGTCTTTGTAGCATTATATATAATGTAAAATACTGGGGAACTCCTAGATACTCAGTGATTGGGAATTGTTTAAATGATTTTTAGTACATCTATATATGTAGGTATAGATAATATAATAATAATATAAGACAGCCAGTAATATAGTGTTATATAAATGTAGATATAGTCACAGACATAGATAATAACATAGACAATAACAATACAATGTCAAGGAATAGTGGGGACAGACAGGTTCCAAACAGAGAATTTCAAAAAGTACTAAGTAAATCTCACCAGGAATGAAGAAACCATAGAATGGAGCAGGAAGATATTAACTTAAAATGGCAGGCAAGAAGCAAAACCTGAGAGTCTTGAATAGTTGGGTAAATACTGTTAATGTGTTCTACAATCTTCAGGTTAAAATGTTTCTAAGCAAGGGAAGGATTTGAGGAAGGTAATGTGTTAAAATGCAAATCTGACAGAATGCAACATGGATCTGAGGCTTGAAGAGTTTACAGAGATGTGTGTGGAAAGAGATATTCTGGGTTTAGGTAAAGAGCAGGCTGCCAAACAGCAAGGACACTGAGGTAAAATCTAACTTTTGAGAAGGTTAAAGACATTCCTCTAGACTGCTACAAGAAAGGGGTAGATGGCTGATTCTTTTTGGCATTTTCTGCACATCTCTTTCAAAATGTGAACTAGATGACATCTTTAGTCAACTCCAAAACTTTATAAAATGAAATTGGGTATAAATTAAACAATGGTTAACTTCAAGACTTCCCAGTCTTGTGATTTTTATGTGATTGAGCTCTGTGTGATTCTCTGGTGTTTTGCATGGATACAAAGATAAAAGTACATCAATAATTAAATGGATATGTAAATGAATAGTGAAATGGACAGTTGGGTGGGAAAACCTATATATACACTCATATATATACGTATGTATATATGTATATACATACACATATACATATATATACATACACATATACATATATATACATACACACACTTTTTTAAGTAAAAGAAATGTAGGTACTTCAAAATAAGTGTTAAATATAATTGCACATAGTAAGCTCTACTCTCTTCTGGGCTGTCTCTTCAATTAGATCAACAGCAAATTTTCATTATGAAAGCCTTAAATAGATAAAAGAAATGACTTCAATAACACTCAAGGTTTACAAAACATATGCAAAGAACTGAAGTGGTAGAATTATCCTGATTGAGAGGGAGCAAATAATATTTATCTTTATGCTCTACTACCTACTGTTAACTCCCAAACTATCCCAGTTTACATTTCGGTAGTTTGTAACCCAAAGAGGGAGATCACTGTACCTAAATGTGCCAATTTAGGCACAGACTCAAAACATTATACAATGATTAAGTAAAGGAAAAAAGGTAGAATATGATGATGCTTTTGATGCAAAAATATCTGAAGTTAAATTTTATCTACAAAAGATTTATCAAAGGTGAAAAATATCCCATGCTCACAGATCAGAAAAATTAATATCATTAAAATGACCATACTGCCCAAAGCAATCTACAGATACAATGAAATCTCTATGAAAATACCAAGGTCATTTTTTAAAGAAATAGAAAAATAATCTAAAAATTCATATGTAATGACAACAACAAAAAAGGCCAGAATAGCTAAAGCAATCCTGAGCAAAAAGAACAAATCTAGAAGCATCACACTACCTGACTTCAAAATATATTACAAAGTTATAGTAACCAAAACAGCATGGTATTGGTATAAAAACAGACACACAGATCAATGGAACAGAATAGAGAACAAAGAAATAAATCAACACATTTGTAGCCAATTAATCTTCAACAAAGCCATCAACAACACACACAGAAGAAAGGACACTCTCTTCAAATAAATGGTGCTGAGAAAACTGGAAAATCATATCCAGAAGAATGAAACTGGACCTGTCTCTCATCATATATAATCACAATAAAGACATAAGACCTGAAAGTATAAAACCACTAAAAGAAAACATAGGGAAAACTCTTCAGGACACTGGTCTAGGGAGAGATTTTATAGCTAAGACATCAAAAGCACAGGCAACATAAACAAAAATAGACAAATGGGACTATATTAAACTTAAAAGCTTCTACGCAGCACAATAAAGTCAACAGATTGAAGAGATAAACTGCTTACTGGGAGAAAATATTTGCAAACTACACAACCAAGAGGGGAACTAATATCCAGAATATATAAGGAACTCAACTCAGCAGTAAAAAACCAACAACAATAATAATAATAATCCCATTTAAAAGTGGGCAAAGGATATAAACATTTCTCAAAAGAAGACATACAAATGGCCAACGGGTACATGAAAAAATGCTCAACATCACTTCATCAGGGAAATGCAAGTCAAAACCACAATGAGATATCTTATACTGATTAAAATGGCTATTATGAAAAAGATGAAAAATAAGAGATGTTGGCAAGGATGCGGAGAAAAGGGAATTCTTACGCATTGTTGTGAGAATGTAACATAGCCATTATGATAAACAGTATGGAGACTTCTCAAAAAACTTAAAATAGAACTACCACATGATCCAGCAATTCCATTGCTAGGTATTTATCCAAAGGAAAAGAAATCAATGTATCAAAGAAACACATGCACTCCCATGTTTCTTGCAGTGCTATTCACAATAGCAAAGATCAGGAATCAACCTAGTGTCCATCAACGAATGTGGTATATGTACCCAATGGAATACTATTCAACCACAAAAAAGAATGAAATCATGTCATTTGCAGCAATATGGATGGAAATGGAGGTCATTATATTAAGTGAAATAAGCCTGGCAGAGACAGACAAATACCACATTCTCTTATATGTGGAAGCCAAAAAAGTTTCTCTCACATAGTTAGAGGGTGGAATGATACATTCCAGACACTAGGGAGGATGTATAGGTAGAGTGGGGAATGAAGAAAAGCTGGTTAATGGGTACAAACATACAGTTAACTAGAAGGAATAGTTCTACTCTTTGATAGAGAAGCAGAGTGACTGTAGTTAACAAAAATGTATTCTACTTTTAAAATAGCTAAAAGAGAGAACTTGAAATATACTGACACATAGAAATGCTAAATACTTGGGTAATAAGATACCCCAAATACTCTGACTTAATCATTACACATTCCATGCATGGAACAAAATTTCACATGTGCCCATAAGTATGTACAAATATCATATATCCAAAATTTTTATTTTTTGAGACAGGGTCTCATTCTGTCACCGAGGCTGGAGTACAGTGGCACAATCACAGTTCACTGCAGCCTTGACTTTCCTGGGCTTAAGGAATCCTCCTACCTCAGCCTCCCAAGTAGCTAGGACTACAGGCACACATCACCATGCCCAGCTAATTTTTTCTAATTTTTTGTAGAGACAGAGTCTCACCATGTTCCCCAGGCTGGTCTCAAACTCCTGGCCTCAAGCAATCTGCCTGCCTCTATCTATCAAAGTGCTGGGATTACATGTGTGAGCCAACATACCCAGCCAAAACTTTTTTTTAATTAAAAAAAATTATGTAAGCAAAGAACAAAAATGAAACACTCCTTTCTATTATGATTCTTATCAAAGATGGTCAAGTTCATACCTATTTTAACATAGAATGCTTATAGCTAAGGGAGACAAAGAAGCAATACAGAACCACCCCGATGTCCTTTGAGCCACAAATAGAGAAATCAGGTAGTCAAACGCACGACTTTTGCTGGACATTATTCCTAAGGCAACTACACAACCCTACAGTGTGTTGCCACTAATAGAATCCACCTATAAATTCCAGTTCCTAAAAGGAAATGCCATTCTAATTTGTAAGGAATATATCCCTTTCTCAGATTCTAAAAAACAAAGCCTTAATAATTTATGAAGTTATTATGGCCCTGATGATTTTACAGGTCACAAAAGAATTACAAAAAAGAAGGGCTGTACTCATTTTCCCCGGGAGAGAAATGTTTAATGCCATACTGTCATAAAAATATTGTAAGCACATTTATATCAGCATGATCTCTTTTCAATACACTCAAACCTAAATATATATATATATACATACATACATATATATATAACTAAAATATATGTTGGCAAAATGGTTCCAGTCTACCAAAGGCAAATTGCACAGCGTATTTTTCCCACAGCTTGCAACATCACTTAAGCCTTCTCTGTTCCCCTTACCAACACACACTCTCCCCTTACAATGTTTCATATTTTTCTTTATAGTACTCACAATTAGCTGAAGTCATCCCACATATTTATTTCTTTATTGCTTTGTCTTGCCCACAGGAATGTAAGCTCACTGAGGGGCGGGAATTTAATTGTGTTAACCATTGCATCCCCAGTGCCTAGCACATGGAAGTCACTTAATATATATTTA
The DNA here is from genome assembly GCF_000001405.40 of Homo sapiens. NCBI lineage: Eukaryota > Metazoa > Chordata > Mammalia > Primates > Hominidae > Homo > Homo sapiens. The sequence goes on from NC_000003.12 coordinate 41,674,015, forward strand.
TGGAATGAATTAATTTTAAAAAGAAAAAAGAGGCAGTGAGGAAGACTGGAAGGGTCTTGAACTGCATATGCACAATCACACGATACAGTACTAATACAAATTATATTTACACTCATAAGAGTATTAAAATCTCCACCTCCCCAATAATAAACAATGGTGTTTCCTGAGTGAAAAATCTAGTCCCATTTACAGATAAATACTAAAAGACAAATGTCCTCACCTTATGTAACAAGTCTCAGAAAAAAATGTCCAAATAGTCAGCATAAGACTACTTTTAGTACTAAGAGTTCCTTGATAATGACTTTGATATTAAACTTCTGAGAGGTGCTGATTTTAATTAATAAGGTCAATTTAGGCTTCAGTTCTGTTAAACACTGCCTCTTCTCTTCTGCATAAACCTTTAAAATTAAATCTTGTCTCTCAGCTGAATAAAAATCACGGTAATTTTCTGAGTATATGTGGTATCTTTCCTCCCAGAAGAGAAGAAAATCTTTGCTCATTAATCGCACAGATAACTGAGTTATGACACTGGCATTCCAACTACCTTGAAGAAAGGAGGAAAACTGAAAGGAGGAAGTGAATGCATACACACTGAGTTAAAGGCAAGGTCAAGATTTGAATCCAAACAAGAACCACAAGATAAAGACTACCATGGCCAGTATCACCAACTTAGTAAGTACATAGTTTCCTCAAGCTGGTGGCAAAATATGAAGTCAGAGAGAGTCAATGCATGACACGGATTTGACACATCATTTCCAGCTTGAAGACAGAGGGATTCTGTAAGAAGAAATACAGGTACCTTAACGCACATGAGACAGCAAAGATATGGGTACTGTAACCCTACAAATGCACCATGGGTTGAGTAATTGCCCCCCAAAAGGTATGTCCAAGTCATAACACCCAAAACACATCAATGTGACCTTATTTAGAAAAAGGGTTTCTAGCAGCCGGGCATGGTGGCTCACGCCTGTAATCTCAGCACTTTGGGAGGCCAAGGCAGGCTGATCATGAGGTCAAGAGATCGAGACCATCCTGGCCAACATGGTGAAACCCCGTATCTACTAAAAATACAAAAATTAGCTGGGCATGGTGGTGCACGCCTGTAGTCCCAGCCACTCGGGAGGCTGAGGCAGGAGAATCGCCTGAACCCAGGAAATGGAGGTTGCAATGAGCCGAGATCATTCCACTGCACTCCAGCCTGGCGACAAAGCAAGACTCCGTCTCAAAAAAAAGAAAGAGAAAGTGTTTCTGAAGATGTAGTTAAGAAACCCAAGATGAGATCATCCTGGGTTAGGCTGGGAGTGGTGGTTCACACCTATAATCCCAGCACTTTAGAAGGCAGAGGCGGGCAGATCACTTCAGGTCAGGAGTTGGAGACCAGCCTGGCCAACATGGTGAAACTCTGTCTCTACTAAAAATACAAAAATTAGCTGGGTGTGGTGGTACATGCCTGCAGTCCCAGCTACTCAGGAGGCTGAGGCAGGAGAATCTCTTGAACCTGGGAGGCGAAGGTTGCAGTGAGCCAGGATTGCACTACTGCACTCCAGCCTGGGTGACAGAGGGAGACTCTATCTCAAAACAAAACAAAACAAACAACAAAAAAAAGATCATCCTGGATTTAGGATCGGCCCTAAATCTAAATCCAGTGATGGTATACCCATAAGGGAAAGGCAGAGGAAAAACTGACACAGAGATAAAAGGGAGAAAGCCATATGAAAGCAGAAGCACAAATTGGAGTGATACCACTACAAACCAAATATCACTTGCAGACATCAGAGGCACAGAATGGATTCTCCCTCAGGGCACCTGAAGGAACCAACGCCACCAATGCCTTGATTTCAGACTTCTGGCTTCCTGAATTGTTAAAGAATGAATTCCTACTGTTTTAAGATAGTTGGTTTATATAATTTGTTATAGGAGCACTAAGAAACTAATACAAACACATAAGAAACTGAATTCTGTCAACAACCTAAATGAGCCTGGAAGCAGATTTCTCTCCAGAGCCTCTAGACAAGGACTCAGCCCAGGGGATGCCTTGATTTCAGCTATGTGAGAACCTGAGCAGAGAACCCACGGACACTGTGGCAGACTTCTGACCTATGGAGCTGTGACCTAATAAATGGGCATTGATATAAGCCACCAAGTTCATGGTGATTTATGTATCAACAGAAAACTAACCAGATATTTACAGTTTAATTGTCTTGTATTATTATATTAATACTTAGAATCTAAAGTTATATAAAAGTTTTGATGGTAAGTATCCTTTTCTTGACCTTAGTGAAAATGTCCTTAATTAAACAGTATTTCTAAAATTGTGATGGAAAGAGCACTAGAGCTCAGAAAGATGTAAATGGGTAGGTCATGGGAAAACTGTCCTAAGAGCACAGTGTTGAGAAACCCTGAGCTTTAGAAAGTATGAATTGTAAAACTCAAAAGCAAAGCACAGTTTCAGAAAGAACACATGCTCCCTCCAAATTTACTAACATTATATAGACCCAAAGTTTAATAAAGGTGGCTTCAATATAAACTTAATATTTCAGTAAACATTTTTACATACATGACTTACAAACTTCTTCAGTTAAAAAAAAAAAATTCTGAAATTCTTGGAACTGTCAGAGAGTAAGCTCTGTAAAAAGGCAGAGGCTATCCCTATCTTGGTTATTAATATTTCCAACAATTAGAAACATGTCTGTGAAATAAGATACATTTAGTATCAGGTAAGTAAATGGGCTGATGAAGAGAGAAAATATTGTCTCTCCAGCTTATTTCGCCTGACTCTCAATGTGCAGGTTTCTGCTGGAAACAAGCTAGCCTGCTTCCTGCCCAGTATGCTGCCTCTTCCATAGCTTTGCTTATCCCCTTCTTGCCTGGGGTGCCTGCCCCCACCCCCAACCTTTTTTTTTTTTTTTTTTTTTGAGACAGAGTCTCAATCTATTGCCCAGGCTGGAGTGGTAGAATCACGGTCACCATATCCTCGACACCCCTGGGCTCAGGTGATTCTCCCACCTCACCCTACTGAGTAGCTGGGACTACAGGTATGCACCACCACGCCTGGATAATTTTTGTATTTTTTTTCTAGAGATGGGGTTTTGCCATGTTGCCCAGGCTAGTCTCAAACTCTTGGTCTCCTGTGATCCACCCACCTTGGCCTCCCAAAGTGCTGGGATTACAGGTGTGAGCCGGTGTACCCAGCAGCCCCATTTGTTTTCTATCCAGTCATACCCAGGTTTCAAAATCTAACTCAAATACTATCTCTTTATAAATGGTATTATAATCCACATGTGATAGGCACTAAACAAATACTTTAAAGTTCATTCATTTTTTTTTTTTTTTTTGAGATGGAGTCTTGCTCTGTTGCCCAGGCTGGAGTGCAGTGGCACAATCTTGGCTCACTGAAAGCTCCACCTCCCGGGTTCATGCCATTCTCCTGCCTCAGCCTCCCGAGTAGCTAGGACTACAGGTGCCTGCCATCACACCCAGCTAATTTTTTGTATCTTTAGTAGAGACCAGGTTTCACCATGTTAGCCAGGATGGTCTCAATCTCCTGACCTTATGATCCGCATGCCTCGGCCTCCCAAAGTGCTGGGATTACAGGTGAGAGCCACCGCGCCCGGCCCCTAAAGTTCATTGTTTAGCAAGTAAAGCTTGCACATGAGAAAGGATAATGATTCTTTGATATTAATTCATCAATTTAAATAGTACGCGGTTCATTCATTGTATTATGATAGACGTTGTGATGGTTAACTTTATTTATCAAGTTACTCAATAAGTAGGGTACCCAGGCATTTGGTCAAACATTTTTCTGGGTATGGCTGTGATGGTGTTCCTGGATGAGATTAACGTTTGAATCGGTACACTGAGGGAAGCAAATGGTCCTCCCTAACATGGGTGAATCTCATCCAATCAAAGACCTGAATAGAGCGAAAAGGCTGATTAAGAGGAAACTCCTCCTGCCTGACTGCCTTGAACTGGGACACAGGTCTTTGCCTTTGAACTGGAACAGAAACACTGGCTCTTCTTCAGTCTCAAGCCCGCCAGCTTTCAGACAGCAACTACACCATCACAGGCTCTCCTGGGTCTCCAGCTTGTCAACTGCAGATCTTGGGACTTCTCAACCTCTGTAATCACGCGAGCCGGTTTCTTAAAATAAATCTTTATTTCATACACACACACACACACACACACACACACACACACACACACACACACACAGAGCTCCTACTGGCTCTGTTTCTCTGGAGAGCCATCATACAGATATTTATTCTTACAACTGAGCCTTTGTTCATATTACACAGCAGTTCTGATAAGCATCTGGAACGTGGGTATTACATGGCACTTAACAAGATTAAATTATTGTTCTTCCTGAGAATTTTTCCAGAAGTATTAGAAAAGACATCCACCCTTTTTCTAGGATTACCCTCTCCACCAGGAACCATTTAACTACCAAGTGGATGAGAATAGGAGCCTATCTGAGAACAAAGCAGAGTAGATGTAGGCAGAGTAAAGAGATGGCGAGAAAGACACATACACGGAGCATCACAGACAGAAATCAAGCCCCTAAATCCAGCTGTATCCACAAGTCTTTGACTTCTCAGTCATGTGAGCAAATAAACTATTTTATAAGTTAATTTGAATTGGGTGCTATTGTTTGCAAATAAAGTCTTGACTAATACAATACTTCCCTGTGCGAAGTGGGGAGCCTACCATACCTGTGCATGAAAAGGCTGTCACCTTGGCTGCATCAAAAGTATTGTTTAAGGTCAAGGGAAGGCTAAAACTTTAACAAAATAAAAAGTATCAACACCAGTGTGTCTATTTGCCAAATTGAAGTGGGTGCTATATAGTTCCCATGGACTCTAGAAACTTAATTCATAAGCTATTATATTTATATACTCAATGGAGAGCATGAATTTTCCATTATTAGTATTTCTAAACTTAAAACTACCAAGAGTTATCTTCAAAGATCAAACTCCTTACCAGGTTCTAGTTTTCCAGAGTTAAGGAGGTTAAATGAATGTGTTACTTACATTTCATTTAAAATTTTTTTTTACATCTATTGAGCCCTTACTATATATGCCAGGAAGGCACAATAAGCATTATACATTTTAATGGCCAATTCATTTCCATGAAGTATGTACCATTACTATTATTGCCCTATTACAATCTTTACTTTAAAGATTAATATGAGATTAAAATAATGAGCCTAACAATAACAGTCACGGTGCTAAACACTTGTCAAGAGGGTACTATTTGCCACACACTGTACCGTTTCAAAAGAAGCATCCTATTTAATCTTTAGGATTATCTTCTAAGGTAGGTACTATTATCCCCGTTCTACAGATGAGAAAACTAAGGCTTGGAGACTGAAATGCAGACTCAAGGCTTATACGCTACAACAGAATCAGTCTGAAAGGTTTGAAAACATTCCATATCACATCCAAATAAATTGTATACCATTATCTGAAGTGCATTTCAAGTTGTGTAATACAAGCTTGAACTCATCTACATTATTTATGTTATTGAACTGCCATGTGGTTTACATTTACATTTTCCTCTTTAATTCCTCATCTCTGGAAAAAGTAAAGACTCATACTAAAGGAAATATTTATTCCAGCTCAAATGAGTAACACAGGATCACTGAGTTAACACTTTTTATTTCACAAACTGTTCCAAAACTGGGCAGACTTCAGATATACAGAAATGTGGTTTCAGATTAACAGAGCTTTAAAAAAGCTATTACTAAACTGTGAAGTCCTGTTGGAGTAAATCTGATCCCTACTGTGTGGAGGAGACATCTCAGGTCCTGAAAAATGTTCTCTACAAGTTTTCACATTGCAGATATCCAAAGCACATATTTTCTTTTTGTTTTTGTTTTTTTCTTGAGAGACAGAGCCTTGCTATGCTGCCCAAGCTGGCCTCAAACCCCTGAGCTCAGACAATCTTCCAGTCTCATCTTCCCAAATACCTGGGACTACAGGCACGAGCCACTGAACCCAGCTCTCAAAGCACATCCTTTAAATATATTTTGTACAAAAACTACATTTAAGGAATTTTCTTGTCAGAAAGATGCATATAACTATATATGAATACTTTTAGAAGCATAAAATGCACTAAAAACATTAATCCCATTAAAGAAGGGTATAATCTTTTATTGAATTCACATAAGTATAGATCACAGACATACACTCATATATAACAAATGTAACTGAAAAGGTACCTACTGACAGTTTATCACTGAGCAAACTCCACATGACAAAGTTTCAAACAATTGTCTTACTTTGGGCATTAAAAGTATTCTTACAGTACATATTAATTATCAGAGCTGTCCCTGAAACCAGCTGCAGAAGTGTAAATAGGAAAAAAGAAACAAGAGGCTGGCCTAGAAATCAAGCTCCAGTCAGTCAAGACAGGCTCCCCCAGAGAGCCAAAGGGTCGACACAGAACACCCACACACTTAGTAAAAGGTACCTTCCTCAACCAACTGGAGTGGTTGAGTGCTTCATCTACAGCAACTGGCAATTTCAGTTATTTGGGTTTTCTTTAATGTGAACCTAATATTATATGAGAGAGTTCAAACTCTTAACATTGGCCAAAATCAGAATGTAATTACATCTGATTTCTTTACTATGATCATTAATTTTTTTTAAATGAGAACAGTGGGTCTTAAGAAGTTGAAACAATAGAGGGAAGCATTAACTCAGGCTGTCATTCTTATAAACCTGCCAAACTGACCCAGACTGCGGCCCAGGCCCTGGAGAAAGCCATGATCAGGTAGGCATATTAATGCATGATACACCATCTAGCATTTGTTTGATTTCACAAAATCTTCTTTAATATTGACATATGGCATATACTTTTTGAAACTAGCTTTGATAAAATTGACAGTGTCCCCTCAACTATAAGGTGAGATTTTAGGGTTTTGCATGTTTGCATTAGGTGCCCTCAGTAGTCATCCTGCTGTGTGTTTGCTTTATGAGCAATGAAGTAAAAGAATACAAAAACCCTTTCTCCATACTCATTACCTGTTCCGCCACCTCCACCCAACCCCTGAGAAAGTCCTGCTCAGAACTAAACCTAAGTTCTATTCCAAGAGTTTGGAGAAGGGGATTACCTCTATCTCTATTATTTCTGAGTAGAGCCAGGAGAAGTCTCAATTTCATGTTCCAGTAGTCGTGTAATATAGACCTTGAATCATAACCCTCACCCCTTGAGCCATGAACACGTTTAAATCTGCATAACTTCAAAATCATGTTTCTGGCAAAAAACAGATTAAGCTTTAAATGGATGTCCTCAAAGATGAACTGAGACCTTCTGAGTCTTCTGCAGTCTAACAGTTACCGCACCTGTCTAAACTTTTTTTATAATGAGTACACAAGCATATGTGTATAAACATAAGGACATCAAGACCCCAACCCCATCACTGAACCTAGTTTGACAGAAGCTTCCTGGATAGCCTACACTTCTCTGCATGAATACAACTGCATGATACTTACTGGGGAAGTAAGACATCTCGAATGAGAGCCAGAAGATTGCTGTCAGAATCAACACTGGCCTTCTCCTTGCCATCCCCAAACTCCTGGTTCACGAGTAGAGATGTGGTTTCTGAGAGCAACCGCAAGCTAAAGAGTCTCCACTCCACTTGAAAGAAAAAAAAAATGCCAAGAATGTGACTCCATGGAGACAGAATGAAAATAGAATGTGTAACTGATGCAATTCTTGCTGGTGTCATCACACTTACCATTTTGGCTTTGAACCAAGGACACCAAGGGTGGCAGTATATAGTCAACAACCTAAAAGAAAGCATGTAAAAGACTCAGAATCTCTATGAACACAAAACTGATATCAACCACTATCTATATTTTTTCCACAGACAGAATCCCTAATCAAAGGAGTGAAAAAAAGCAACGGCTAAGTTTATCCTGGATTTAAACTCTCCATGACATTTAATAAACCACCAAGCTCATTTAAATCTAAAAAAGTCCTCAGGTCAAAATGACATTATGAAAATCAAAACAGTAATTTATCAAAACCTTCAGGGTCTATGAAAGGAACTTTAGAATATAATGCAAAATCTAGTTGGCACAGGTTGGCATTAAACCATCAAATTAGTATGTATAAGCTGGTGATCATTACATCAAGTTTAACCTAAACAACAATCAAAATGTTGGGAAAAAAAAGACACAATAGTCCCCATGTTTTATCAAATACATCAAATAACTATGACAAGTTCGTCTTGGTTATTTTTAGAAATAGACCACAAAGATGTAAATCCACTATACAAACCACCCCTGTGAGTTCCTAGTTGTATCAGAGAACAATCAAATATGGTTTAAAACTTAACCCCAAAAAACAAGTATTTTCCTCCAAAATACCAAAAAAGAAAGAATCCCTACTCCAGTCTAATGATGAAAACTACTGTTTCATTTGATGAACTATTTTAGTGACAATAAACAAAATTCCCATTGTTTGTGTACTTGTTCTCTCTATACTGATAAAAGAGCAGGAGAATCTGTGCACAGCCAAACGACATCTTGCCGTCCATACCAACAAAACAACGCCCTGCACAGGCAAGAATCTCCATATGTGGCTGGTGGCCCATCAGTATTAACATATTCTATCTCCACTTGACATAGGAAATTTATATGTGACAGTATATCTCAATATTTTTACAAGGACCCTAAGAACCAGGGGTGTTTTCTTCACCCTCTTCCACTAAGTGATGTCACATCACTGAAAGCACAGATATCATGCTTCACCAAGGTACTTTGAGAACTCCAAACTTCCAGTTATGTCTAAAGAAAAAACTATGCAAAGGAAAGAAATATATACTGCTATCAATACTACCAACATGATCAACAGCTATCTTAAAGGTTGAATAGTGTATATCAGGAGAGGAGTAAGACTGAAACAAACGATCTAAGTGCCCATCTCTAGAAATTTAAAAACGAATAAACATGGCCAAAAAAGCAAGCTTGTCAGAAGATGAATACAGAAAAATCAACAGTATTTATGAGACAGAGTAGGAATGAGGCTTGGCTCCAGCTCATCCCTGCTACAGCATTCTTTCATACATTCCCAGTGATCACAAAACCCACACCAGTACCTCACTGATGCCATACCCGCTAACCCCAAGGCTTTAGTCATGCTATATTGTTCCACTGAGCTCTCAAAATGTTTAACCGTGGCTTTTACTTAAAGAATTCCAGGAACTGGCCTTACGAGACCCAAACTATCAAACCAAAGTTGTGGAGTGTACCACCTCAGGAGGCTCCAATGAAGCCTCGTCTGGGAGAACTCTGTCGGCCTCATGTCCTATTGCATTGAGAGCCCAAGAACTCATGGTCAGTAACATATTCATTCAGGGCTTGTCTGCGATCACCAGACATGGGGTGCTTTTTTCTCCTCTGTGGAGGGAGGCATGTGAGCCAGCAGGACAGCTGGACGTGACCCCTCCGTGACTGATGGAAGGCCACCTGAAGTTTTGATTCAGCACTGCTACAACTGGTGAGTTTTTCCTCCAGCCTCCCTGTGACCCCTCACAACCCACCCCAGACAATGCTTTTCCTTCCCTCCTGGTCTTCTATTTGTTGGGTCTTTCTTTTTCTTTCTTCTTCCTTTTTCCTTCCCTTCCTTCGCTTTTCATTAACTTAATTGACTCAGTCTGAAGACACCCGTGTGGCACTGATTCAGCCTCAGTAGACACCCATGTGGCACTGGTTCAACCTCAATAGACACCCACGCAGCATAGGCAAAAACAGTCATTCAGTTCAGCTGGTAGGAAACTCTGTCTGGCACTGGAATCTGTAATATTCTTTAAGTACATTCCCTCCCTTTGCCACGCCTTGTGGGAAAGGGAAGGCTGTGGACTTTGTCGTCTGTCTATTCAAGCATGCAAGCCTACAGACCCTGGGTGCTATCTTTGTGAAGAGAGGACTGATAGCACGTGGGTCCACAGTTTGCGTCACTCACGTCCTGATCCATTTTTCCTTCTTGTGTGTTTAACTTGACATCTGATTGCCCCATGCAGACTGTTGGATGACTTCTTGCAAAGAGAAGAGGATTTACCTACGCTTCCACCAAAAAATGGAAAAAAGATGACTTTCTCTTGTAATGCAGCTTGGCCCCCACAGCTGTGCTGCAGTGAGAAGAGTCATCAACAGCTGCTTTGCTCTTACGGAAGCTACACAGAAAGGCAACCCAGAAATCTGGCATGCGAGCAAAAGGTTAAGGATTTCTTACCAGCCAGGCTTCTGACCTGCTTCTCTGTGCACACCAGTTGAGTGAAATGGTAAAGATAATTGTTTGTCTCAAGGTCTATGACCCCTATAAGCCTGCTGTTTGGCAGACTTGTCAGTTACAAACGTTGCTGCAGGTCCTTGAAACAAAAACTGGACGAGGTTTCCCTTTCATCTTATTTTATGTCTTTGAGAGCTTGACCTTATGACCATGGTGGGGTACCCTCTCTTGCTATCTAGCATCCAGAAGGTGGGAATTCCGAGGCTCATGTCAGGTAGCCAGTCTGAAAGGACCTGGAGACTGAGACACATAAGCACACGTTCTTTGTCCCAAACGTGTCAAGCACTTGGGGATGAGTTCTGTCTTAAAAGGTCCCACCCCAAGGGGCTTTTGTCATCTTTTGCTATCTTAAATCTATTCCTGAGAGTAAATTCTTGGGGACCATGGAGATGCCTCCTCTACCCCCTCTCTAGAAATACCATTTGCTTATATTATAAAAACCTGAAAAATTACCATCTGAGCCTTAAAGGGCTTTTGGATTGAGTAGCTATTGAAACTAATTTCATCATTAAAAGAAAAGCACTTTTCTTATTCTCAACAATTTTTTAAAAGGTTTAAATTAAAAGAAGGATGCATAAGAATGTCGTGGCTAACCTTACAAATTATCTTGAGCAGCTGAAATTCCTAGCAAGCTTGAAAATGGCTACTCTAGTTTCCTTCTGGGAAGACCAATGACAACTGCCTCATGCTGTAGCTCAGTAGCTAAGGCTTTGCCTTTTCACAATGGCTGCCTGGGTTCAATACCTGGCACAGGGAATAGTACTTTCTGGTTTTATATTTGTGTGACCTTTGCCATTTATTATTTTCCCCTCCATGAACAACTTCTGACTTCCTGTCTTGAATTTTCCTTTCTCTGATCTACCTTTGAGGTGATTATAAATCCTGTAAAGACTGCTTGCCCTAAAAGGTTAGGCAAGGACAATAACTTGTTCAGCAGGAAGTAGCTTCTGAAGATGAGATCTTCGGCCCTTTCTCCTTAAGCATAAAGAAGGTGAAGTTTCTCAGCAGGGAATGAGACAGAGTAGCAATGGGGCTTGGCTTCAGCTCACCCTCACCAGAGCATTCTTTAATACATTCCCACTGATCACAAAACCCATACCACTACCTCACTGATGTCTTACCCACTAATCCCAAGGCTTTAGTCATACTCTGTTGTTCTTCTATGCTCCCATAATGTTTAACCATGCCTTTTACTTAAGGCATTCCAAGAACTGTCCTTAGGAGATCCAAAATAAACCAAGATTGTAGAGTGTTCCACCACAGGAAGGAATGGCAGCCTTGTTGCCATTGGCCAGACCACCAGGTGGCCCATTTCTCAAGATAACATCGCAACCAGTTGTGCTGACCTGCATACCTACCCTTCACATTCTTTGCCCAGCCCAGACTGCATACCCTATCCTATTTATCAATTCGTATGTTTTGACTAATAAAAATTTCCAACCAGCTCTTCAGAGAGTCTGTCTGGGAATTCTCTCTCTCTCTCATGATGCTTCCTTTATGCCCGGGCATAAGCTCCAGTGAAGCCTTGTATGGGAAAACTCTTTTGGCCTCATGTCAATTTCTATTGCACTGAGAGCCCAAGGACCATGGTCAGTAACATTTATATGTACCTACAACAACCAATTGAATAACATAATTCAAAAAATATTTAATTTACAACAGGAATATCGTGATCTTAGCAAGAATATATATATGGATATAAATGTATATCTGCATATATGTGTATGTGTATATGTATATGAACATATTTACAGGTACTATAGTCATTGATGGACTTCTGGGTTCTAGACCAACGTGTAAACAGCTTGGAAATCATCACAACCAACCATACAACAAAGAAAAAGCAAACAAACATGAAAGTAACTATTGAGATGAGCTGACACAGTATGTAGATAAAGGGATTTTGTCACTGCCACTATCAAAACTTAATAGCTACTAAGGGCTAGGAAAAAAAGACTCAATTTATAAATATGTATATACACAAATATAAAATAACCAACAGTACATAAATAGGGATATGTAGAAAAGCCAGGGTTTCTTGGAAGAGGAAGGAAGTACGTGTTATTGTCATTGCTGTTGCCTTTGTGTTTAATCACCAGAAACAAATAGTTACGAAGAGTTAGATTTAGAGGCCTAAATTAGAGCCTCTAATTTGATGACTTGGGTCTTTTATGTGTGTGTGTGTGTAAGATATTTAGAGTAACTTACTTTTACATTAATTTGAAAACGTACAGATGAAAATTAAAAGTCATCTAGATAATAATCCAGAGGATACCAGACAAAGATAAGAAAATAACTTGAAATTAAAAGAAAAGATTTGCTCAAGATGACATAGGAAAAGTTCTAGCCTCAGCCTCTGGCCCCAAATCCCTGGAGGTCACACTCACAGAGGAGGACTACTGTAAAATAAGAGAGAACGGCTCCAAGGGTACTCAAAGTGAGGTGGCAGAGCTGGGCAAGAACAGAAAGGAGCTCTTGGAAACACAGTTAAGTATGACTACCTGGGCCCAGCATCAGGAAAAATGTGTTCTTTTTAAAAAAATATTTTTATATTTCAATACATACAGTTTTCTAAAGAACTGTATGCATTTTATTTATTTTCTGCATTTAAAAACATCATTCTGAGGCTAGGCACAGTGGCTCATGCCTATAATCCCAGCACTTTGGGAGTGTGAGGTGGGAGGATAGCTTGAGCCCAGGAATTCGAGGTTACAGTGAGCTATGAGTGCACCACTGCACTCCAGCCTGGGCGACAAAAGACTCTGTCTAAAAAAATTATTTAGGCTGGGCGTAGTGGTTCATGCCTGTAATCCCAGCACTTTGGGAGGCCAAGGTGGGCAGATCACGAGGTCAAGAGATCAAGACCATCCTGGCCAACATGGTGAAACCCCGTATCTACTAAAAATACAAAAATTAGCTGGGTATGGTGGCGCACGCCTGTAGTCCCAGCTACTCAGGAGGCTGAAGCAGGAGAATCACTTGAACCCAGGAAGCAGAGGTTGCCGTGTGCCAAGATCACACCACTGCACTCCAGTCTGGCGATGAAGAGAGACTCCATCTCAAGAAAAAAAAAAAAATTAATTAAACAAATTTAAATAATAAATAATAAAATCATCATTCTGAGAATGCATCAATAGGCCTCATCAGACTACCAAAGGCTTCCAAGATACAAAGATCTTTAAGGCACAAGGTTAAATTTCCTTAAGTGTAGTCAGAATGCGGCAGCAGAAACTCAATGAAATAAAGTTATGAACAAATCAGTGTCCAATGTCAAGAAAACCACTCTGCTGGGTTGACTAGATTCCTGTGCCTTCCCATATAAGGATATAAGGGTGAGGCACCTGTACAATATTTCTAGCCAATCCCCATGTCTTGAAAAAAGACTAATTTCACCAAAGGAAAAACATCTTTCTAACAAAAGGGTCATCAAGATAAAGACACTTCCAAATAAGAACTCCTGATCAGGGTGTTTCAAATGCTAACCAAACACCCCTGAAGGCTATATTCCTGATAATGTACTTGACAGGTAAACCATCCTTCCCACCAGCTCCCAAGTGCATGTTGAGGCTGGGACAGCCCAGGCAAGGCTCCTTTCTTAAACATCTCTCCCACAAGGGCTGGGGGAATGGGTGGACTCTCAACCCGAAGCTAAGTTGAAGGGAGGTGGACGCAAACATGATTCTTTCTGCCTACAACACCCACTCCCCACCCGGAAGTTAACATCTACTTGCCTTCAAGACTTACGTCAAGAACTTCCTCCTCTTAAGATCATCTCCAGACTCTGTCAGACTAAATAGGGCTCCCAGCATGCACGGTGTACAACACCAATAAAGCACTCTTCAAACTGTGCTCCAATATTGGTCATCCCCTCCATCCTCATCCCACCCCCTCCCCTGACACCACAGAGGAGCCATTCAGAGTAGGACCTGAATCTGGCTCACTACTTTCTCAAAGATGGTATAGCCAAGCATGGTGGCTCACACCTGTAGCCTCAGCTACTTAGGAGGCCGAGGTGGGAGAATCGCTTGAGCCCAGGAGTTTGAGACCAGCCTGAGCCACATAGTGGAACCCCCATCCCTAAAAAATGAATAAACAAACAAATAGATGGTTTATCAAAGGTACTTACTAAGAATATATGAGTAAACCAAATAGCTAAAAAGTTTTCTTGGGGCCACTTTTTACATCACTGCTATAACTCTATTCATACTATTTTTGTATAAATAAGGTATTTTTTAAAAGATTTGAACTTATAAAAGTATTTGTTTGTGGTACAGAATGTCAATTTCTTTAGAACAAAACAAAACAAAATCTGATTTGTTTTTGTATCCTAGTTATCAGCTGAGGTCACCCTAAACTTCGAGTTTCAAATAAAACCGTCAGCCCTGTGTGCTATTAAGCAATTTAGTGTCCTTTCCAAGATTTCTGGGAATTTGCAGAGGTTTATTTACTTTCCCATGATTCACTGCCAACTCTGAGTTTCTACCTCACTTATCTGCTTTTTACCTTCTCCTAACTGCTATTTGCTTCTGGAAGCCTGAATATACTGGTGGTAGCCAGACTATATAAGACAATAGAACTCTAACCCACAACCTCTACAGGAACCAGTAGGGAAGCCAAAACCACAACCTCTGTAGCCATTAGCCTGGGATGGTTAGGATTTAGTCAACAACTGTCAGCTTCAGTATTTTTTGTACTCTTCCAACTTAGGGCCGACTAGAGAAAGCCAAAAATGTTCCCCGAACCAATCACATAGGATGTCCTGCTTCTAATGAGCCCACTTCCAGTTTCCCCTGCCAAATAGCCTCCAATCAGGGCACACCTGAAGTCTTCCTTCTCCCACTCCCCTCCTTGCCTTTAAGTCTCTGCCAAATGCTAGTGATGTTGGCCAACTTCTTTGCCATAGCAACTCTGAAAAAACAACCTGTTTGTTCTCATTTGGTTGGTCTTTGTTGATTTCTACCCACCAGTGTAAGTCATAGAATATAGCCCCTTTTTAATAATTAAATTTAGAAGACTCACAAATTCTTGGTATGTATACCAGACTTTATTGAGAGTCTGGAGTAATGGAGGGTTTATAGCAGCAACACCAACAATTTAAAATTGAAGTATATCTGTTTTTAATCATCTTCAATCACTTGCAACTTTAACTTTTCTCTGCACAGCAAAAGAAACTACCATCAGACTGGACAGGCAACCTACAAAATGGGAGAAAATTTTCGCAACCTACTCATCTGACAAAGGGCTAATATCCAGCATCTACAATGAACTCAAACAAATTTACAAGAAAAAAACAAACAACCCCATCAAAAAGTGGGCAAAGGACATGAATACACACTTCTCAAAAGAAGACATTTATGCAGCTAAAACACACATGAAAAAATGCTCACCATCACTGGCTATCAGAGAAATGCAAATCAATACCACAATGAGATACCATCTCACACCAGTTAGAATGGTGATCATTAAAAAGTCAGGAAACAACAGGTGCTGGAGAGGAGGTGGAGAAATAGGAACACTTTTACACTGTTGGTGGGACTGTAAACTAGTTCAACCATTGTGGAAGTCAGTGTGGCGATTCCTCAGGGATCTAGAACTAGAAATACCATTTGACCCAGCCATCCCATTACTGGGTATATACCCAAAGGATTATAAATCATGCTGCTATAAAGACACATGCACACGTATGTTTACTGCGGCACTATTCACAATAGCAAAGACTTGGAACCAACCCAAATGTCCAACAATGATAGACTGGATTAAGAAAATGTGGCACATATACACCATGGAATACTATGCAGCCATAAAAAATGATGAGTTCATGTCCTTTGTAGGGACATGGATGAAATTGGAAATCATCATTCTCAGTAAACTATCGCAAGAACAAAAAACCAAACACCGCATATTCTCACTCATAGGTGGGAACTGAACAATGAGAACACATGGACACAGGAAGGGGAACATCACACTCCGGGGACTGTTGTGGGGTAGGGGGAGTGGGGAGGGATAGCTTTAGGAGATATACCTAATGCTAAATGACGAGTTAATGGGTGCAGCACACCAGCATGGCACATGTATACATATGTAACTAACCTGCACATTGTGCACATGTACCCTAAAGTATAATAATAATAAAATTAAAAAATAATAATAATTTTTAAAAAAGAAAAAAAAAACTTTTCTCACAGGCCTTCTTCCTTCACAAGCTCTGGGCTCCTATTCTGCTGCCTAACTTTTTGGCTTCTAGGCAGCCCTCCTCTTTGTTTCTGCCTCCTTTCCTCTTTTCTTAGCTCTCCCACCAACCAATACATTTTTATTTCTTATGCAGACAAATTTTAGCTACTCTGCTACCCCCATCCCCTTTCTTCATCCAGGGTTCTACGCCACTCCCCAGTCCTACCTACAAAAGAAAGAGAAGCTCAATACAGACCATCCATGGCCTCATAGTTATAGAAAGGCCAGGCATATGTTTCCAGGTAACTGCTTTTCTGTCTTCAACCAGACCACCTTTCCAGGACAGAGCACCTATATGCAAAAGGGGGGTACTTCCCTCATAATCCAAGCTCATAATGTTATAGCAGGTAGTCAGGCAGACATGAGCAGGGCAGGAGAGGGCACCCCACCCCAACCAGGAACATCAGGCAACATCAGGTGATAGGCGGTTGTTAACTGTCTCTCTAAAATTATTGGTCACAGTCAGTGCTAGGGAAAGGCAGTCTCCCTAGATAGAAACACCTGAAACTGGTGATCAGAAGCTTCCTCGTAAGATCTAAGGAGTTAGGTGACTGGGCTCAACATGTGCACTAAGAGGCAAAATGGCAGAGTTTGGTATATGACCTTCTAGGAACATTCTAGTGGTAAAGGAAGAACTGCCTCAAGTGAGCATGTGTATAACTCCAGTAAACACAGTGCACATGCAGCCCCTGCCAAGTTCTGGAGGCCCCTGCACATACGAACAACCCACCCCAAGGGAAGCATCAGGGGGAAAGAGATGCAGACCCTGGAAGCATGCCAACATATAAAGCCCCAAGTCCAAGGTCAAACCACAAACTTGAGTCTCTCAAGTTGCCCACTTGGCCCTCTTCCAACTGTACTTTACTTCCTTTTGTTCCTGCTATAAAACTTTTAAATAAACTTTCACTCCTGCTCTAAAACTTGCCTTGAGTCTGCCTATGCCCCCGAGTCAAATTCTTTCTTCTGAGGAGGCAAGAACTGAAACTGTGGCAGACCCATACGGATTTGCCACCACTAACAATACCTCCCCCAAAGATGGGAAATTCTCTCTTCCAAATATCCATTTTAAACAGTATTATCTATTTATTTATTTCCTTTAACATCCATTGATTTTTATCTAAAGTAGTGGCTAAATTGTCTTAGGACCTGAGAAATTTCAAACCCGTTAACACACCAACACAAAGAATGAGTTAATACTACACTTATTGATTAATCATGTTACAGGATGTTTGGAGAGTGCAGTCTGATACATGATGAACCTCAATCTGCATTTTGAGAAATCAAATTAAAATTGTACGCTTTAATGACAACCCAACACCAAACAGCAACAATGCAGCAAGACAATAAAGAACAACAACAAAAAAGGACAAAGCCCTAAAAATTATCTTCATCAAATCACTTCTTTTTTTTTTTTTTTTTTTTTTTTTTGAGACTGAGTCTCGCTCTTTCACCCAGGCTGGAGTGCAGTAGTGCGATCTCAGCTCACTGCAAGCTCTGCCTCCTGGGTTCACGCCATTCTCCTGCCTCAGCCTCCCAAGTGGCTGGGACTACAGGCGCCCACCACCGCCCCCGGCTAATTTTTTGTATTTTTAGTAGAGACGGAGTTTCACCGTGTTAGCCAGGATCGTCTCGATCTCCTGACCTCGTGATCTGCCCGCCTCGGCCTCCCAAAGTGCTGGGATTACAGGCGTGAGCCACCGCGCCGGCCCATTAAATCACTTCTAATTCATAGTGAGAAAACCACGACGACACAATCTGACACAGTATATGACAGCAAACATGTTCTAAACCTTTGAGTGGGCATGGCTTTGCTCACTGGTACGGGGTCACCTTATTAAAATAGAGACTGAATCATTGAGACAATAGACAATGAGTACCTTTTTGCTGCTGTGGAGTTGGATAATTTGCTCACCAATGTTCTGCCCTTCCAGAATCTTCCACAGAATTTATACATATACGTTATATATTTATATATACTACTATATGCTACATATTTTATGACATATATAATATATATTTAATGGTATTAAAATAAATACCATTGCACCCTAATCAAGCTCCTCTGTACCAGTGATCTCTATTATAAAATTCTATCAGTCATTATTTATTTTAGTGTAGGGATAATATATGGAATAATCCAAGGAATTTTAATAATTAATACTAGTAATATTGATTTCTTAAAGACATTCACTTGTGCTAAAGTTCATTTGACAATGTGCTCTGAAAGCAGAGACCTACTGAACTTTTTGAAAATGGAAATTCCTAAGTCTGGTGACTTTTATTTCGTTGCTCAAAAACTAGGACCCCCACCCATTTTTTTAAAAATGTGTGAATACATATGCACATTAGCTTCTGTGTATGTCAGTTTCTCTGCATGTTAATGATTCTCAATGGTATGTCCCAAATGAAATCAATGTCTGTGACTTAGGAATGCTAAGACAGCTCTGGGACATTTAAGCTAAATAATAGTAAATGCATTGGAAATTCATAAATAACACTTGCATCACTAAACCTTATTTTACTTGTTCTTAAAGTTATTGTTGCCCAAGATGATGCTTTGTTTAAATCTTCTTTACAATATTAAACAGCTATAAAAATGTTAAGGAATTCCCATGGCCACATTAGGTTGGTAACACACTATTGGGAAGACTGTGTCGAAACTAGCATTCTCATGCATTGCTGGTGAGAAAGAAAAATGGTAAAAGCCTATATAAGGGATTCTGGCAGTATCTAACAGAAGTACAAGTGCATTTACTCTTTGATCCCAAAATCACTCTTCTAGCGATTAAACCAGTAAATCGCAATTTACCCTGAAGATACACCTACAACAATAGGAAACTAAATATGAACAAGGTTATTTATTGCTTATAATTACAAATATTAGCAACTACCTAGTGGGCCAAACATTGGTGGAATACTAAACTTGTCTTAATAAAGAGTGAGAAAAATCTCTAAGAACTGATATGGAGTAATTTCTAACACTCATTATTAAATGAAAAGGCAAAATGCAAAAGAACATATATAGTATGTTACATTCAGTATAAGAAGGAAAAATAAGAAAACACATGCCCACTCTACAGAAAGAAATATTAAAAGGACAAACCAGAAAACAATGAAGCTGTTTATCTACAAGAGTAATGAGAGTATGATGGAATGGCAATGGAGTAGGAGGGATATATATTTCAGGGAAGGGAGTGACACTGCTCTGAATATATCTTTTTCTATAGTTTTAACTCTTTTGGAAGCACATTCATGCTCTACATATTTTAAAAATTAGAAGCAACAAAAGAGGAAGGAGAAAAAGAAAACCTAAAATTGAAAGCAAATGGAGACAAATCAACTGTACTTCAAACGAATATTATAACCACACTAGGAGTGGGGAAGGGAGCTAATCCAAGTACCTTATGAACACAGTATTGACTATATACTCCCAGTGTTGCTTGGAGATGACAAGAGGTTGGGAAGGCAAAGAATTCTGCAAACAAATCGTGACCTCATTTGGTTTGTTTTGATACTGGTTTCAGTGAAGCAATTCCATAACAATTTATTACAGGATTAGCAAATGAGAAAATGTGCTGATGATGCTGGAAGCCAAAACTTCCACAAAGGGACACACAAATACAG
Organism: Homo sapiens; assembly: GCF_000001405.40. Lineage (NCBI taxonomy): Eukaryota > Metazoa > Chordata > Mammalia > Primates > Hominidae > Homo > Homo sapiens. Next base: position 41,694,166 of record NC_000003.12, read on the forward strand.
AACGGGCAATGGCAAGAAAGAACTGTGTAGGGGACTGGATACAAAGATAGCAGTGTGAACTCATGATTTCAAATATGTATGTGTGTGCAGATAGGCACGTGTATGTAAGTACGTATAGCCGTCCCTCAGTATCCACAGGGGACTGGCTCCAGGGACAGAACAATGTGTCCACACATAATTGAGTAGGAGCATCGTAGGGACTGTTATGGAGGGAGGTATAGAAAGCTATGGACCCCAGAGCAGGGAGGGACATACTCTGTTGGATGGGTAGAGGGGAGTCTCACAGAAGTTAGTTTTGAACATGGCCTAGAGAGAAAAGGAGGATGGGATAGGGCAGACAATCTGACCTGGGGGATGAGAAGTCTAGGTTCACATAAGGAATGCTGAGTATAGTTGGGCCTCAGTATCTGAGAGAGATTGGTTCCAGAATCCCTTTCCCTATACCAAAATCCAGTGATCCTTAAGTCCCTTATATAAAATAGCATTAGTATTTGCATATAAACTACACACAACCACCCATATACCTTAAATCATCTCTAGGTGACTTATAATATCTAATGCAATGTAAGTGCCAGCTAAATAGTTGTTATACTCTATTTTTTAAATTTGTATTATTTTTATTGTTGTATTATCATTTTTCATCTTTTTTCAAATATGTTTTATCTGCTGTTGGTTGAATCCAAGGATGTGGAACCTGTGGATATGGAGGGCCAAACCGTCTGTGACTATATGGTATGTATGTGTGTTCATACGCATATGTGTTAGTCTACTCAGGCTGCTATAACAAATGCCTTACACTGCATAATTTAATAATAGAAATGTGTTTCTCACAGTTTAGGAGGCTGGGAAGTCCAAGATCACGGTGCCAGCAGGTTCAATGTCTTGTGAGGGCTGCTTCCAAGATGGCATCCTTTAGCTGTGTCCTCACATGGCAGAAGAAGTACAAAGGCCAAACCAACTCCCTCAAGTTCTTTTAAAGGACACTAATTCCATTCATGAGAGGGGAACCCTCATGATCTAATCATCTCCTGAAGTCCCCACCTCTTAATAGTATGACATTGGGGATTAAGTTTCAATATATGAAGTTTGAGGATACATTCGGACCATCACAATGCATATACATGCTTATATTTCCTAACTGTTTCTTGGAAGGGCTAGAAGCTAAGGTGTCCCAGAAGAGAAGAGCACACTTCGTGCCCCATCTTGGTCTCTAATGCCATTTCCCAATAAAGAAAACCGGAGCTCCTCAGAGAAATGACTAATTTCATAGCTAGGGCAGAGTAGTAACAAACTGAGGAAAAAATATTTTGTTGTAACATAAAATGAGGTAGCATTCAAAAAAGAATAGAGTATGTCACAAAGACACTTGAAAGAAGCCAACCTGAAAAGGCTTACACTAGCCAAATCTGGAAAATATCAGCACCAAAATAATATAGTAATGAAGTCATTGATAAAAACAGGAATCTGTGGTAGACTGAATGATGCCCGCCCAAAGATGGCCATGTCCTGTGTGGGCGGCAAGCCATCCAGGTGCCGAGGCAAGAGACCGAGGCCACGAGCTGTTCCAGTATAATAAAATATATAAAACAACAAGAGTTATACTAGATCTAGACCATAGACATGATTACGTATGAATACCATTAATCATTAGTTTGTAGCAATTACTCTTTATTCCAATATTATAATAATCCTCGCTCTATAATCATAACCTAGGAAAAACCAGGCCATACAGAGATAGGAGCTGAGGGGACATAGTGAGAAGTGACCAGAAGACAAGAGTGTGAGCCTTCTGTTATACCCGGACAGGGCCACCAGAGGGCTCCTTGGTCTAGCGGTAACGCCAGTGTCTGGGAAGACGCCCGCTGCCAAGCGGACCGTGGTCTAGCAGTAGCCTCAGTGTCAAGGAAAAACACCCACTACTTAGCGGAACGGGAAAGGCAATCTCCCTTTCCCCGGGGGAGTTTAGAAAAGACTCTACTCCTCCACCTCTTGTGGAAGGCCTGACATGAGTCAGGCCCACCCGCAGTTATCCAGAGGCCTAACCATCTCCCTGTGGTGCTATGCTTCAGTGGTCACGCTCCTAGTCCACCTTCATGTTCCATCCTGTACACCTGGCTCTGCCTTTTAGATAACAGTAGCAAAATTAGTGAAAGTACTAAAAGTTTCTGATATGCAGAAATAATGGTGTAAGCTGTCTCTCTCTCTCCCTCTCTCTCTCTGCCTTGGCTGCCAGGCAGGGAAGGGCCCCCTGTCCAGTGGACACGTGACCCACGTGACCTTACCTATCATTGGAAATGACTCACACTCTTTACCCTGCCCCTTTTGCTTTGTATCCAATAAATAACAGCACAGCCAGACATTCGGGGCCATTACTGGTCTCCGCATCTTGGTGGTAGTGGTCCACTGGGCCCAGCTGTCTTTTATCTCTTTGTCTTATGTCTTTATTTCTACAATCTCTTGCCTCCACACACGGCAAGAAAAACCCACCGACCCTGTGGGGCTGGTCCCTATAGTCCTGATCTCCAGAACCTTCAAATTTGTTATTTACATAGCAAAAGGGAATTTGCAGATGAGGTTAAGGATCTTGAGAGGAGAGAGTTATCTTGGATTATTCAGGTGGGTCCAATATAATAATAAGGATCCTTAAAGGGTGACAGGATGGTCAGAGTCAGAGAAGATGTAACAATAAAAGCAGAGGTTAGAGAAAGATTTGAAGATGCTGCTCTGCTGGCTTTGAAGATGGAATAAGGGGCCACAAGCCTAAGAATCCAGGTGGCCTCAAGAAGTTGGAAAAGGCAAGGAAGGAGATCCTTCCCTTAGAGCCTCTGGAAGGAACACAGCCATACTGACACCTTCATTTTAGCCCCAAAACTCATTTTAAGCTTCTGACTCTCCAGAACTGTAAGATAATAAATTTGTGTTGTTTTAAACCAATAAGCTTGTGGTGATTTGTTACAGCAGCAACAGAAAGCTAATATAGAATATGAATCCACACCAATAAAAGATAGAGATGCTTATTCATATCAGTTAACTTTAAATATATATATACAGTCATGCATGGCACAATGACGCTTCGGTCAGCAACAGAGCACATGTACGATGACGGTCCCTTAAGATTATGATGGAGCTGAAAAATTCCTATTGCTTACTGACAATGTCTTGATGATCCTGATCTTGAGTAAGCCCAGACTAACTGTGTGTGTTTTTGTCTTCATTTTTAACAAAAAAGTTTAGAAAGGATAAAAAAAATTAATTAAAAATTTCAAAAATAGAAAAAAGCTTATCAAATAAGGACATAAAGAAAATATTTTTGTAGAACTGTACAACGTGTGTTTTAAAATGAGTGTCATTACAAAAGAGTCAAAAAGTTTTTAGAAATTTATAAAGTAAAAATGTTACAGTAAGATACAGAGAATTTAATACTGAAGAAAGAAAAATACATTTTTTTTCTACAGGCATGCATCACCATGCCCAGTTAATTGTTTTTTTAATTTTTTGTAGGCATAGAGTCTCGCTATGTTGCCCAGGTTGGTCTTTGAACTCCTGGTCTCAAGTGGTTCTCCTGCCTCAGTCTCCCAAAGTGCTAAGATTACAGGTGAAGATGTGAGCCTCTGTGCCAGACCAAAAAATATTTTTAAATAAAGTTAATGTAACTTAAGTGAACAGTGTTGATCATGTCTGCAGTAGTGTATAGTAATGTCCTAGGCCTTCAGATTCACTCACCACTCACTACTGACTCACTCAAAGCAACTCCAGTCCTGCAAGCTCCATTCATAGTAAATATCTTATAAAGGTGTAACATTTATCTTTATACGGTATTTTCACCACATCTTTTATTGGTATACTCACCATTTGTTACAATCACCTACAATATTCAGTGCAGTAACATGCTGTACAGGTTTGTAGCCTAGAAGCAATAGGCTATACCATATAGCCTAGGTGTGTAATGGGCTATACCATCTAGGTTGGTGTAAGTACATTCTATGGTGTTTGCACAACCAAAAAATCACCAAACAAGGCATTTTTCAGAATGTATCTCCATCTTTAAGCAAGGCATGACTGTATATACAAGCTGAGCATTCCTAATCCAAAAATCTAAAATCTGAAATGCTCTAAAATTTGAAACTTTTTTTTCTCTTTTTTAGAAATGGGGTTATAGCTACATTGCCCAAGCTGGCCTTGAACTCCTAGGCTCCAGTTATTCTCCCACCTCAGCCTCCCAAGTAGCTGCGACTATAGGATCTCGCCACCATGCCCAGCTTGAAACTTTTTGAGCACCAACATGACGCTCAGAGGCAATGCTCATTAGAGAATTTCAGATTTTCAGATTAGGGATGTTCAACCAATAAGGATAATGCAAATATTCCAAAAATTCAAATATTTCAAAATCTCCAAAACATCCAAAATCTGAAGCACTTCTGGTCCCAAGTGTTTCAGATAAGGGATAATCAACCTGTATATAGGCTTACCTTTACCAAGTTCTAAACCTTTTTTCATATTTATGTAAATTTTTAATTCACAAATAAGATAACTAAAGATGTACTTATCCTAAGTATACAATTCAGATAATTTTCACAATATGAACATACTCACGTAAGTAGCACCTAGATGAAGGAACATTATGAAGCCCCCTTTGACACAACCTACCAGTCACCACCCAAAGGTAACCACTATCATGACTTGGAATAGTTTTGTCTATTCTTAACTTTTTTGCAAGTGGAATCATGGTATTTCGTATTTGTTAACTTTAGCTCAACATTAAATTTTTAAGATTTATCCATGTCGTTAAGTGTAACTGTAGATCATTTGTTTTCTCTGTGGAAGAGCTTTCCATCATTTGACTATATCATAATGTACTCATCCATAGACTGTTGATGGGAATTTGGATGGTTTCCAGTTTGGAGCTATGAGCACTTTTAGCTCATTTCTATTGAATATATATTTAGAAGTAAAATTGCTGAGTCACAGTATATGCATATGTTCAGCTTTAGTAGCTACTGCCCAATAGTTTTTCAGAGTAGGTGTACCAATGTACACTCTCACTGAGCGTAGTGTTTCTGGGTTCCATTTGCTCTATGTCCCCACCAACACTAAGTATTAACTCAAATAACTGGTTTAAAGCTAGATTATTCATTATTTATTAGCCTCCAGCCTTTCCCTGAAAAATTTACAAAAGGATAGGTTTTTCGTTAAAATGTATTAAGGCTTAGCTTACTTTCTAAAGTTAAATAGAAATATATTTTCATCAAATTATGTATACTGCAGCCAGAATTTTCTAATAAAGAAGTCATCTTTATTTCCCCTTTGCTATTAATAATATTTTCCGAAACCACCATGAGTGGGGAACAAATTCGCTGTACAAAACAAATCGTGGCTTTCTCACTGTCCTATAGGCCAGATTGATGATTTCAACTCTGAGGAGCTAAATGGTCTAAAACTCTGGGAAAAATCTGAATTAAGAGCTCGTGCTCAGCAAGAATCAAATGCATTTAGCCACTTCCATACAATATAGTATTGATCAGCAGCCTTGAACATCATGTGTGCTAACATTTCAAACAACAGTATGTTCCTTGGGGTGTTGGATCTTCATCTTCATGTATTCCAGTCATGCTCAAAAAGAGGTAATTAGAAAATTTCTCATGAGTTATATCATTAAAAAATATTTTTATGAAGCCAGTAAGTTGCAATAATACCTCTTCTAATAGACGCTGTAGTTACAATAATTAGTATGCTTGCATTTCATATGATTAGAAAATTAATTTCTATTTGAATGCAAAATAGATATTTATAAATACTGGATCTTAACAAATTAACCATAGGTTATTGCTCATTAGGCAAAAGAATCAACAAGTAACGACCCAGCAAGTCATATCTTATTTGATGACTTGGAATTCATTGCTGTGACAATGACCATGACAAACAGGTTCCTAGTTATAGTGGGTACTGTTACTTGGATTAACATTCTTACTGAAAACAATGAAAAATGCCAGATAAAATATAAAGACCCTAAACCCTAAGCTCTGAAAACAGGGGGAGCTTTCAGACTAGTTTCTGATGAAAACCGGAGGCAGAGAGTTGAGACCATGAGAGCATGGAGCTGACTGCCCAGGAAGCACTTAGCAACAACACAAACAAAGGTTATCAGTGGGACCCCTGCACTCCCATCCTCCTAGCATACAGAGTTTTATGAGTCACCTTACACAGAAATGGGCACCTGAAGAGAGGAGATTATACTCTCTAAGTAAGGAAAAACTAGATTCATTCACCAACCCCTCCACACACATTCACACTCCTGACAACTGAGGAGGCTGCCCTGGGAAGTTATGATCTCAGACCTACATTATCAGGGATTTGCACACTGGGTACAAATGATGCTGATCTGAGGTACTGTCCCAATTGGCAGAGCCCTTAGGTGCCTGGCAGAAGGAAACATGCTATGGAGGAAGGAACATCCATAGTTGATTTCAGGGAATGCCCGCTAATGGATTTCAGGGACAATGACCAGCAAGGATAAACAATACTCAGGCCTCCAAGAAAACAGGAAGATTTGGGCAACAACAAGATATAACAGACACCACAGACAAAAGATGACTTTCATAGTCTTCTGATATTAGAATTACCACATATACTGTAGAACTACATTTAACAAACATGAATAAATAAGTCACGCACTAGAAAATATCTACAGGGAACAGGAAATCATAAAAAGCAATACAGATTTGAAAATAAAAAAGACAAGCAGAATTTCTAGCAATGACAGACTTCTACAAATGAAAAATAACCAAAATTAGAAACTCAACGTGCTATATGTGGCAGCAGAAGGGGCATAGTAGAAGACAGGGGAAAAAAAAGAAATAAAATCATTCAGAATATAACACTAAAAAAGAAAAAGCTGGAATACACAAAAAGACAGTAAGAATTAGAAAAAAATGAGAAAGTTTAATGTATATGTGATCTGATTTGCTGAAGGAGCTAGAACAAGAGAAAGAATAAGCAGAGATAATGGCAGAAAGTTTTCAAGACTGATGAAAAAGAACAATCCACAGATTCAAGCAGCACAGAGAATCCTCAACAGAATAAGTAAAAAAGAAATTTATATTTAGTTACATCATAGTGAATCTACAGAAAACCAAATCTACACCACCTCCCCCAAAAAACATTTTAGAAGGACCCAAGGGACAAAAACAGAGATTTCCTTCTGAGGAAAAACTTGAGATTAGTCACCAACCTGTCAATGGCAACAATTCAGAACATAAGAGAATGAAATAACATCTGGGCAGTGCTGAAAAATAATACCAAAAACAACTACCAAACTGAAATTTAATACTCAGCAAAATATCCCTCAAGGAAGAATGACTTTATCAGACAGATAGTTTGCCACCAGCACATGTAAGCTAAAGGAAACTATAAAGGATGTACTTCAGTCAGAAATAAGTGAAGACAGGAATGAAAACTAAAAAAAGAAGCATACAAAAGTAGTAAATACGTGAATAAATGTAAATGAACATTAACTATATTAAAGTAGTGATAGTAAAGTCTGGTGGATATTTAAAAGAGAGAAACAAAACAAGATAGACTTGAAAATCCCAGACAACAATAACATATACATCATGAGGGGACTAAGTGGAGTTAAGCAGGCTAAGGTCTGTATATTACTAAAAGAAAAGAAAGTTTCTTTTTAAGTTTAGCTTTTAATACATTAATAGGCATGATGTAAATTTTAAAGTAACCAGTAAAAGAATAGAAAGAAAATATATAAATACCAACCTTATATAGGGAAAAAACAAAATGAAAAATAAAATGTCAATAAAACAAGAAAGTGGAAGTAGGTAAGAAGAAAATAATGTATGACAATGTTTGAAAGAATATAGTAGAATGAAATCCAAACAGACCAACAATTACAGTGTGTAAATGAAGTACATGCTATAGTTAGAAGTAAAAAAACTGGCCAAATTAATTTTTTAATTTTTTAATTATGTATGTATGTATGTATTTATTTATTTATTTATTTTGAAATAGAGTCTTGCTCTGTCACCCAGGCTGGAGTACAGTGGCTTGAACCTCCACCTCCCAGATTCAAGCGATTCTCCTGTCTCAGCCTCCAGAGTAGCTGGGATTACAGGCAAGTGCCACCACATCCAGCTAACTTTTGCATTTTTAGTAGAGATGGGATTTCACTATGTTGGCCAGGCTGGTCTTGAACTCCCAACCTCATGTGATCTGTCTGCCTCGGCCTCCCAAAGTGCTGGGATTACAGGCATGAGTCATCCCGCCTGGCCCAGACAAATTAATTTTAAAACACTATATGATGTTTCTATTACATAGATCTAAAACATAAAAGTAGATGTCTGAAGGAAAAGAATGAAAAAACATATAGCAGGCAAATATTAATCAAAACAAAGTTTGCATGATTATGTTAGAATGGGACAAAGGAGGGTAAGGCAAAAAACATTACTAGATATAAAGAGGGCGACTTCACAATGATACAAGGCTGATTTCATAAGATGACATAATTTGAAATTTGCATACACCTAATAACATGGCCTCAAAATACATAAAACAAAAATTGTCAGAACTACAAGAAGAGATAAATTCATAATAGTAATAGGAGATTTATACACATCTCTTTCAGTAATTTATAGAAAAAGCAGGCCAAAATTAGTAAGTTTTTTTTGTTTGTTTTTTTTTGGTTTTGTTTTTTTTTTTTGAGATGGAGTTTCGCTTTGTCACCAGCCTGGAGTGCAGCAGCACAACCTCAGCTCACTGCAACCTCCGCCTCCCAGGTTCAAGCGACTCTCCTGCCCCAGCCTCCCGAGTAGCTGGGACTACAGGCACACACCACCATGCCCAGCTAATTTTTGTATTTTCAGTAGAGACGGGGTTTCACCATGTTGGCCAGGATGGTCTTGAACTCCTGACCTCAAGTGATCTGCCCGCCTCAGCCTCCCAAAGTGCTGGGATTACAGGCGTGATCCACCATGCCGGGCCAACGACAAGATGTGAACAAGATAACTAATAAATTACTTGATGAACATATATTGAACACTGCACGGAACAGCTGCAAAATATGTATTTTTTTTTCAAACATACAGAATATCTACAAAAAATGACCTCATAATGGGCTATAAACCAAGACTTGATGAATTTCAACATATTAAAATCATCCAGACTACATTCTCTAACTTCAAAGCAGTTAAACTAGAAATCAATATACAAAGATAAATGTATCCATGACATTTAAGTACATATATATTAATAACCCATGAGTCAATAAAGAAAAATATAAAATATTTTAACCAGAAGATTAAAACTATATATACCAAAACTTGTGGGATGATGCTAACGCAGTATTTAAACCTAATCTGAAATGTATAAATTAGAAAAGAAGAAATATGAAAAATTAACAAGCTAAATATTTACCCCAAAAAGTTAGAAAAGGAATACAAAATAGACCCAAAGAAAAAGAAAGGAAATAAAAATAATTACAACAATCAAAGAACAAAGAAACAGAAGCTATTAGCAAAATGAAACAATGGCATTCTAAGCCATGTTTTATAAATTCAAATTTCCAAATCTGTCTTAAAAAAAAACCCAAAGTAGAACTGAGCTAATTCCAACATGTCAGAAGCCACAGAATATAGTATTTAAGTGAAGGATTTAATGCGCATGCACACACACACACACACACACACACACACACACACACACACAAGTTAACTGTGTTTGAAGGGTGGGGGCAGAGGGTAGAGAAATATGTGAGGAAACAAACTGAAGAATTCAGTTCTACAATGGTATCTACGTGACCATGAAGGTGTCAAAATCAACTTTTTCTTTACTTCATAATATCTAAGTACAGTTTTTATTTCTAAATTCATTACTTTTATTCATTATTACAGGCAATTCACAACTCATGATTGACTGCTATCTAAAATTTTGCCTTTAGGGTTAGTTGTTGGAAATTTGAAAAACATTTTCACATCAAACTCTCTGCTGGGTTATGCTGTGGATGCCCACATAATTTGTTATCTAAAAGCAGTCACTATTGCTTGGGTCAAATGCTAAATGGGACAGAACACTGGAAACAGGCATGAGCTGGGGTACAAGAAACACCTCCTCCCTATACCAAATCGCCAGTGCTTCAGTGAGAGGGGCAGGGGTGGGAGATGGGAAAGTTAAGGAGGGAAGGATGGAACCATGTGTCTGCTCCACAGCAGCTTCTAGGGAAAGCCACTGCCTGGCAAAACCTGATACTGCTCCTTGCACCATAAGCTAATTGTCTTCCTAACTGGCTCCTCTTCTGGGGACCTTTCTGCAGAAAGAAAGGGACGGAGGATTTCCTTCTCCTAAAGTCAACAAGCAGCTCACCTAAGGATCCTTCTAAGACACAGTTTCCCAAATGGGAGCAATTTTGCCACCCAGAGGACATATGTCAATGTGTAGAGACAATTTTGGTTGTCATAACTGAAGGGAGACGGAGTGGGGCTACCAGCATCTACTGAGTAGAGGTCAGGGTTTCTGCTAAACATCCCAGAATGCACGGGACAGCCCCATAACAAAGAATTGTCCATCCCAAAATGCCTTTAGTGCCAAGGTTGAGAAACCTTGCACTGAAGGTTTGTACTACCAGTTGCAACAAATAATCAGGCAAGAAGAAAGTAGGCTGAGGGATAGGTGTGGACCAGGAAGGAAAGAGAATAATAAAGAAAAACGCCAAGAAAGTCAACAAAGGGAAGGGATTTCCTATGTTCATCCTGCCAGGGTAGGGGGGTTCTGAATGGTTATTTCATGTGAGGAACACATATGAGCCAAGCACTGTAAACGAGGCCTCTTTATATAAGGAATTACCAAGTAAATTTAAAAGGAGCTTTTTTCAAAAGCTGCCAGAACTGACCGTGGAGCGATAGTCTTTCAATAAAATAGGATACTGTATTATTGCTTCAAAAGCTGACAATGTGATCTTGATAAATTCTTCTGATGCTGTCAGTCCTAGAAATACAGTTAATTATTATAGGTGTTTATTTACATGTTCTAAATCATAATATCAAAGTACCTCAAACAAAGACACAAAATGTTCCAGGGTCTACTCACCTATGGCTCCATCTATGTTCGTTTCTCCTGAGTCTACAGATTTAATATGACTCTGAAAAAAAATAAATTTTTAATAAATAGAGTTTCAAAGTAACTCTGAAATAAAATATAGGTAGTTTACATTTTGCCCAAAACTGTACCTATTGTTTTTAATAACTCATAGACAGTATTAAATACTCTATACATATTATATTATTATAGTTACAAAAGTATATTAAATAATATACATAAAGTCTAAACAATAATCTCTTTTTTTTTTTGAGACAGCGTTTTGTTCTTGTTGCCCAGGCTGGAGTGCAGTGGCCCGATCTCGGCTCACCAAAACCTCTGCCTTCCAGGTTCAAGTGATTCTCCCACCTCAGCCTCCTGAGTATCTGGGATTACAGGCATGTGCCACCACGCCTGGCTAATTTTGTATTTTTAGTAGAGATGGGGTTTCTCATGTTGGTCACGCTGGTCTCAAACTCCCGACCTCAGGTGGTCCACCTGCCTCGGCCTCCCAAAGAATCATTTTTAAATATACAAATCACTATCAATGAGATTTAATGTTGGAATAAAGTCAATGTTAACATAAGCATTTACGAAAGTGAGAATAATATAACTGATACATAACCATGTCCAATAATACACCACAATTACTTGCTCGCCATATCAGAAGAGAGTTCGAATGGCACCTAACCAGGGAAAACAGTCATCTCAAAGGAAGGTCAATCAAGCTTTAGCTACCCTGAGTACAAACTGTGTCAAGATAGTAGTTTCGCTCTCAAGGCCTGTCTTCAAATTTCGCCACTGTTTTGAGTTCCTCCTAGATACCTCTTATTCCAACCCCCTTATCTGCGCTCCCATGCACCATGCTAGTGCCTCCTTTGCCGGATGACTCCCATTGCTGTTTGAGAGGAAGGCCTTAGTAGCTCGGCTGTGAGCTCTGAGGCCTCAGCTCCCCAGATGAATGAGCTTCCTGGTCTCTGGCCAAATGCTCTGGACAGAAAAGGTACTCCATGACAATGAAACAATCACTGCCATGCTAGGCAGAGCACCCATGTTACTGACAGCAAGAACGCTGCAACGGAGTTCTTGCCACTAATAAACAAAATAATATATATATATTTATATATATATTTAATATATATATTTATATATATTAAATATATATAATTAAATATATATTAAACAAAATAACATATATTATTTTATATATGGTAACAAATAGCAAATAAAACATAAGATGACCTCGGAACTAAAAAGTAACTAAGTATAAGCGATTAGCCCACAGTAGAAATTGGTCTAACATAGGCCAAGCGCAGTGGCTCACACCTGTAATCCCAGCACTTTGGGAGGCCAAGGCGGGCAGATTACTTGAGGTCAGGAGTTCGAGACCAGCCTGGCCAACACGGTGAAACCCCGTCTCAATTAAAAATACAAAAATTAGCCAGGCATGGTGGCACACGCCTGTAATCCCAGCTACTCAGGAGGCTGAGGCAGGAGAATTGCTTGAGCCCAGGAAGCGGAGGTTGTAGTGAGCCAAGATCATGCCACTGCAGTCCAGCCTGGCCGACAGAGCGAGACTCTGTCTCAAAAAAAAAAAAAAAAAAAATATGTGTGTGTGTGTGTGTGTGTGTGTGTGTGTGTGTGTGTGTATATATATATAGAGAGAGAGAGAGAATAGAATCTATGTAACATATACAAAAGAACATAGGTATGTATTTTGTGTTACAAAGAAAACCCTTAAACCCACTACTCAAGTTAAGAACTAAGACATTTCCAATTGGTTGTATAAACTCCCCCATCCCATCTGCCTACCTCACTTCCAGAGATAACCACTATCATGTATTTATCATTTTCTTGGTTTTCTTAAAATAGTTTTAACACATATACATGTGTCCCTAAATAGTATATTGTTTGTGTATTTTTGAATCTTACTGAAATTATACCAAGCTATACATAGTTCATACAAACAGAAGAGTAACCATTAAAATGCTAGAAAACATAAGACCTGAAATTGCAAAACAACTAGAGAAAAACAAAGGGGTAAACCTCCATGACATTGGTCTGGGCAATAATTTTTTTAGATCGGACCCAAACACACAAGCAACAAAAGCAAAAGTAGACAAATGGGATTACATCAACATAAAAAGCTTCTGCACCCTGAAGGAAACAACAGAGTGAAGAGACAACTTACGGAATGGGAAAAAAATATTTGTAAACCACATATCTATGAGGGGGTGAATATGCAAAATATATAAAGAACTCAACTCAATAGTAAGAAGGCAAATAACCCAATGTTTTCAAATGGTCAGGCCAGGTGAAGTGGCTCACACCTACAATCCCAGCACTGTGAGAGGCCAAATCAGGAGGATAATCTGAGGCCAGGAGTTTGAGACCAGCTTGGGCAACATAGCAAGACTGTCTCCGCAGAAAAATAAAAAATTAGCCAAGCATGGTGGCATGCACCTGTAGCCTTAGCTACTCAGAGGCTGAGGTGGAGGATCACTCGGGCCCAGGAGATCAAGGCTGCAGTGGGCTATGACGGTATCCCTGCACTCCAGCCTGGGTGACAGGGCAAGACCTTGTCTCCAAAAAAAGAAAAAAAAAAAAGTCAAAGGATTGAATAGACATTACTCGAAAGAAGATATACAAATGGTCAATAGGTATATGAAAAAATGCTCAACATCACTAACCAGGGAAAGGAAAATTAAAACTATAATGAGATATCACTTCACATCCATAAGAATGGCTATTATCAAAAAGATAAAAGATAACAAGGACCAGTGAGGATGTATAGAAAAGGGAACTCTTGCACACTGTCGGTGGGAATGTAAACTAGTACAGCCATTATGAAAAATACTATGAAAATTCTTCAAAAAAATTAAAAATATAAGTACCATATGATTAAGCAATCCAACTACTGAAATAAATACATATACATATATATATATATTTCCAAAGGAAATTAAATCAGTATGTTGAAGAAATATCTGCACTCCCATGTTCACTGCAGCTTTCTTCACAATAGTCAAGATATAGAATCAACTCAACTGTCCATCAACAGATGAACGGATTTTTTAAATGTGGCAAATATACACGATGGAATTGTTTTAAAAAGGAAATCCTGTCATTTGTGGCAACATGGATAAACCTAGAGAACATTATGTAAGTGAAAGGAGCCAGGCACAGAAAGACAAATATCATGTGGTCTCACTTACAGGTGGGAACTAAAAAAGTTGAACTCAGAAGTAGAGAAGAGATGGCAGTTACCAGGGACTGGGGGTAGGGGAAAGACATTGGTCAAAGGACACAAAATTTTGATTATATAGAGGGAATAAGGTATCAAGAGATCTAAAGTAAAGATCTGGGATTACACGCCTATAATCCCAGCTACTTGGGAGGCTGAGGAATGAGAATTGCTGGAACCCACGAAACAGAGGTTGCAGTAGGTGAGTATAGTTAATAAAGATGTAGTCCTGAAAATTGGTAATAGATTTCAAGTTTTCTCACCACAAAAACAAATATGTGAAGTAACAGATATGTTTATTAGCTCAATTTAGCCATTCCACAATGTACACATATTTCAAAACAATCTGTTGTACACAATAAATGTATACAATTCTTATTCATCAATTTAAAATTAAATTTTAAAATGTTTTTAAAAAGAATGTTTTAAAGTTATAGGAAAATACTTAAATGCAACCTATGTTTTTTAAAGGTAGAATACAAATCTATGGATACAGAAGGTCTCAACCATATTTATTTGTGTATGTCACATACATGTTATAGATACATAAACAATTGTTTCTACAATACAAATGCATCTATATGAATGGAAAACGTAAGAAAACAACAATATGTTAACAATGGTTGTCTCCTAGTGTAGAGTTACAGATAATTTTATTTTCTTCAAATTTCACTACACTTTTCCACATTTTCTTTAATAAGCATGAATTATAATTTAAATAAATAAGCATAAATTACCTTTAAAATAAGAAAAAAAAACTTAAAGACATTTATTGTCTAGGTTATAAAGAAAATCAGAAAGCCTATAAAATGCAAGCCCTTTAAAAAGTGAAAACAGAGGACATCTTCAATTCTTTTTTGGTCTACAAATAAACAAAATGGACTTTAAAATGGAGTTTGTTTGGTTTTGTTTTGTTTTTTGAGACAGAGTCTCGCTCTGTCACCAGGCTGGAGTGCACTGGCATGATCTCGGTTCACTGCAACCTCCGCCTCCCGGGTTCAAGAGATTTGCTTGCCTCAGCCTTCCAAGTAGCTGGGACTACAGGCGCGCGCCACCACGCCCAGTTAATTTTTGTACTTTTAGTAGAGATGGGGTTTCACCATGTTGGCCAGGATGGTCTCAATCTCCTGACCTCATAATCTGCCTGCCTCGGACTCCCAAAGTGCTGGAATTACAGGCGTGAGCCACCATGCCTGGCCGAGTTAATTTTTAAAAGCAGCAATGTATGCTTTTCATGATAATTTTATTAAAATTATTTCACATAATTCCAAAATGGACACATAACTTTTATCGAATAAAATATAAATTTGATGTTGAATAAGAAACTCAGAGAGAGAGATCTTTTGACTTAAACACATGTACGTAAATGTCTACGGATTACTAAGTAAAGAAGACACAGAGTAGTGTACGTAACAACAATCCCTTCTGTGTAATTCTCTTAAAAATATACACATAATACACAAATGCTGGTGATGTGAACAATAATTTTTGTGGAAGAGATCACAGGAAAGGACAAGCACTGCTTCCTTTGGGAACCTGAGGAGGTATGCTTCACTGCCTTTTCTGCCTTTCTCTTCCCTTGCGACTTTTTAACCACTCACATGTACTGTCTTTTTCACATATATATATATAAATAAAGCTTGTCTAAATGCTGAAATTATTATTAATTATTTATTATGAAGAATTATGGGCTTATTTTATTTCCTACCTTATACTTCCCCTATTTAATTTTTTAAAAATTCCCACAAATTTTTCATTCATTTACCAATTTCAATATTTTTTGATATATTTCTTCCTTCTCATTCTCAGTGTAATAGGGAGTAATGAGGTGAGAGTGAGGACGGGGTAGTAGGCATTGGAGATTCAAGGAGAAAGGAACATATAGTCATTGGCTGATGTGAATTTTAAGAGAGACCTGTCATTTGCACTGTTTCCCCCTCCCCTGCCCCCAGCCATATTTAGCCACTCAAAGCAGGGCTAGGGTAGGTGGAGACTTAAATTTAACTAGCATTAAGATTTGTCAGAGAACCGGACGTGGTGGCTCATGCCTATAATCCCAGCACTTTGGGAGGCTGAGGCAGGCGGATCACTTGAGGTCAGGAGTTTGAGACCAGCATGGCCAACATGGTGAAACCCCATCTCTACAAAAACTACAAAAATTAGCCATGAGTGGTGGCACACGCCTGTAATCCCAGCTACTTGGGAGGCTGAGGAATGAGAATTGCTGGAACCCACGAAACAGAGGTTGCAGTGAGCCGAGATCGCTCCGCTGCACAAGCCTGGGAGACACAGGGAGACTCTTGTCTCAAAAAAAAAAAAAAAAAGATTGTGACTAATGCTGGACCAGGCATTCTAGGTGGAGTAAAGAGAAAGTGAAAAAGCAGAGCCCTGGCAGGGCAGGATGGTGAGCAGAAAGCAGGTAGGAACAATTAAGTCTCACAGGAGCTGAAGGGTTGTGGGAGTTGGGGAGGAGAGGAAATGAGCTGAAAATCAGGGGTGGTGGGCCGACAAGCGGATGCTGACAGTAAGGTCAAGTGTTTGACCATGGGAGCAGGCAGCTGATGGGAAGACAGACAAGCTCTTGGGGAGAGAAGCAGCCAGGGAGCTGCAAGGCTGAGGCACTGGAAGGATCCTTCAGAGGGATATCAAATTCCCCACCAATGATGCAAGAGAGGCAAGGAGAGGCTCTTGGTGAGCCAAGTGCTAAAGGAATGCTGAGGAACAAAGGCCAATGACCCAGAAATCTGCAGATGACCACAACACAGGGGGTGACACAATATCTTCTCATGGTGCAAACTTCAAAGATGGGAGTTTCAGCAGGGGAGCAAAAAAGACCACCCACCCTGAGCTAGGTCTGCTGGCTAGGGGGTGTGAAGCAGTGTGTGCCAGCGCTCTCAATATCATTCAGTGATCCCCAACAGGGGCTGAAAAAAAGCTCCTACAGCAAACTGGGATACAAATTCATGATATGTTAAAGGAAAAAAGACAAGAATATCTAGGTGGCAACAAATAAGTAAATATATACTATCATGTTTTCAAAAATACAAGAGTGCACTAGCTCTGGCTTTTCTGCAGCTGAAGCCAATATCTATCAATAAACCAGCATTCCTGTACATAAAAATCTACAGAGGGCAGGAAGTATAACCTTTCATAGTTATTTTTTGTAGAAAACTATAACCACCACAAGCCATCATACTTTCATAAACTAATGAGGCCAGAACTTAAACACAACAAAGTCTGCTTCCTCTGATCATTAATCAAATGCATTTTCAAAAGGACATAGGAAATATAGTGAATGTTAGGTTAATACACATCATGAGCTCTTGAAAATATTTCCTTAATTTACTACTTCCTGTTTCCCAGCCCAATTCAATGGAGGACCAAAAGAAGCATGGTATTCACCACAGAACTTCCCCAGAGACTAGACTGCTGAAACCTGGAGAGGGAGCTGAGTAAGACAACAGGCTGCTTCTGCCAATAAGAAGTGAAAATAGCAATTATCAGCTGGGTAGTCCTCTTTTTCCAGGAGTGTTTCAAAGCTTGATAATGGTTTAAAATTACTCTGCTGAATTGTTTCCAAATGCTAGTCTCTTTAAAATATAAGGTGACCAAAACTTCATTTTCCTTGGGGGAAAAAAATTTACAAAAAATTAATTCTTGTATTTATGCCTCCATATATAAGAAGTATCCTGAATTTTTGTACCAAAAAAACAAAAAATGTCTGTAGGTCAAATAGGCAAACCATGCCCTAGTGCCATTATAAAAATGAAGTCAATGGGAAGCACAGTTCCAATCCCCGCTTCTCCAGTCTGCTCCTTAAGAACCCTTCTAATGCACAGAGATCACACTAACCCTGGCTGCTATCTCCACACCCACCCCAAGGCAGGCCAGCAGCTCATGAAGAGCTGCCTCAGGGGAAGCCAAGAAGTTCTTGGCTTGCTGCTACTGGATACAGCTTCTAAAAGTGGACTAAGCTTGAATATCCCAATTAAATCATATCTTTAAAATATGAAAGGACAATATGCCTGCCATAAGACAATAGCTACTGCATGAGATACATTTTGAGAAATACTGAAAATAATATTTATCTCCAGATGTACCAGTAAGTCTTTCAAAACACAATGCTGGGAGAGGTGGCTCATGCCTATAATCCCAGCACTTTGGGAGGCCAAGGTGGGTGGATTACTTGAGTCCAGGAGTTCAAGACCAGCTCAGGAAAGATGGTGAAACCTCATCTCTTCGAAAAATTTTTAAAAATTAGCCAGGCATGGTGGCACACACCTATAGTTCCAGCTACATCTGAGGCTGAGGAGGTAGGATTGCTTGCGCCTGGGAGGCGGAGGTTGCAGTGAGCCTGATTGTGCCACTGCACTCCAGCCTGGGTGACAGAGCAAGACCCTGTCTCGAAAAAAGAAAAAAAGCAAAAAAACAAGCAAAAAAAAAAATCCACAATGCTAAGTATGTAAATATGAATGGACTACTTCCCTATGTCACCAGAACCAAATAAGCACTATGCTCCGGACAATTTCACATAATTGTTCTGTGGATTGGGCTACAGAACGTTCATAACTATGCATCCCCACCACTACCACCAAAAAAAAGAAAAAAAAAAGCCCTCTCAAATAGTTTAGGAAGCCTTTGCCTAAAAAAAAATTAAAAATTATTTTAAAGCAGAAAACTCAAAGGGCTTTAATATGCTAATTTGCAATGTACATTTCTAAGGGTCTGTAGAATGTTGGATGAGTAGACTAGACCTCATAGCAGCAGTAAGGCACTGTAACTTGAGTAACATTTTTGCTATCTTCTGGAAAAATTATGAATTCATAGAAGCAACATTCAACTCTCAACAATTCACAATAATGTGCACAAGAACTGTATGGATAACTAAATCCAGGTCCTGAATTTTAGTCAATAATTCTCTCCCTTTGCTAGTATTTCATCAGTGCCATTAACACTGAGTATACAAAAGGTGAACACACAGTTAAGGCCAACAAACAAACACAATAAGAAAAATAATTCAAGAATTCTGGGACTGGGCATGATTCAAACTACGAAAATAGACTGAAGAGAGGCAAAAGACTTTCATTTTATTTCCCTAAACTTCCTCTAATTGGGTGATACCATCAAGAAAAAAACTGCTAAAATTTTTTCAGTATCTTAATGATCTCTACACCAGCCAAGTTATTTTCCATTTCCTAAAGGTGCCTATATTGAAAAGACCCAACAGAATACCCATAGAAAAGTCTTTATGGACACACTCAGTGTGGCCTCCTCCCTTGTCTCTGAACACAGAATTACAAGGAGCAGACGAGTTCTCCCCAATATACATAGAATTTCTGAAAGTCCAAAAAGACTTTTCTGTTGGAAAATCTTGGTAATTCTTTAAAAACCTAAAGCATACTCAGTTAATGTAGGCAGAAGAAAATACTACACATGAAAAAAAAAGACAGGGAGAAAGAACACAAGACAATTATACCTATCCCAAACAAACACTGTGCCAAAATAATCCAAGGTGGGTTACCATAAAAAAATTACTAATTTCAGGCATCAATATGCCAACGCAATGGAATTGTAAATAGAAAAATCATAGTCATGTTAAAATGATGCCTATGCTGTACTTAAAAACAGGTAAAAAGATGGTGGTAAATAAAAATTCTCATAATTTGCAAATTCATAAATGTGGTACCAAAATTATAGACTTTCTGGAATTCAAGATTCAAAGTACTCAAATGATAAAAATCTGAAATTGAGCACAAAGGGACCTTTACTGCATTGCTTCCTAAAAATCAGCAACAGTCACTCAACATTTATACTTATAAACATCATACTTCACCCTATGATGAACTTTCTAGAAAACCATATCCTCACTTGTTGTGGCAATCTTTTTTTAAAAAAATTCCAAACTAACAATAAAATTGAGATGCTGACCTCATTTTAACTAGTTACCTCTATGGCATTTTGAAAATCTCTGTTCAGTTTATTATTAATATCAAAGTAAGACTGGAGAAGCTCTGTGACAAATGTTTTAGCTTTCCCTCTGTATTTCCCTCCTCATTTTATCAACCATATATACTGTAACTACTACTAGCAAGGGAAAAAGATAACATAATTCATGAGCTAAACAAAAAGAATTTTTGTGAGCAAAAACAGAAGTGAAAGATAATGCAATAACTTTTCATTTCTACTTGTATCCTCAAAATTAAAGAAAAAGCTAAACTGAGCTTAACATAGAGAAATGCCATCATAAGAAGAGACACTGTGGGGGCTGGGTCAGGAGAATCGCTTGAACCCAGGAGGCGGAGGTTGCAGTGAGCCAAGATCGCACCACTGCACTCCAGCCTGGGCAACAGAGCGAGACTCTGTCTTTAAAAAAAAAAAAGAAACTGCACATGATTGGACAATATAAGCCGAAGTAAATAATAATGATACTATATTCCCAGCATTCCATTTTCACCAGTTTTATTATATTTTTTCATGATGTTTAATACCAAAATCTATGAAAGTGTTTCTGTGGACATATTTACCCTATTTGGGCTGTCTCTGAACAAAATACATTATCAGGAGAGAATGTGTTTTCTCCAAATGTCAAATTTTATTACAGTCAACAGATAAAAATATTAAAAGGTCACTTCCCTAGAGACAAATAAATACCAACAGGATTTTTAAATTACCTCATTCTGACATCAAATTCTACAAACAGTAGAGGAAGTCACAATTTTATTAGAAACAAGGAAAATTTCGTGTTACTCACAAGAATAGTTCCATAGCTGAAAAGAAACTCTTCTGTCACAACTTGAGGTCGAAATACCTGTGTGATGAGAGTTTCTACAGATTAAATTCTGGAAGCTATGTACAACGTTAGCTCAATAAAAAAAAAATGTTTTGAGTTGAGGATTCTCAGCTCCAGTTTACAAAGAGAAGAGGCAAATTTATATCCTTTTCCTCCTCAATACAATAGTACCTGTGAAGTTACGAGGTGAAGCACTACAGGCATCAGGGGGAGACACAACTTCAGCTGTTTCACTTGAACTGTTGATGGGTGTTTACGTCCAGAAACATTAGCCAAGGAGTTAAGAATGTCACCTGTGAAGCACAGCCCAGAGCATATGTGGAGGTTAAAAACCACAAATACTTAGGAGCCACTGGTCATTGCTTGAATACCCATGGGACTTCTAAGGTAATTAATCTCCAAATAAAATAAGCAGATATACTTATTCACAAGTACTGAAATTACAACAGACACTTATGGCCTCCGGGGACAGAATGTGATATTCTGCAAAGACACTATAAATAAACTTAACGTCTCATTTGGAAATGAAAAATAAAATTTAATAAATTATTATAATAGAGTAATAGCTTTAGAATTTTTTTTTTGTATTTTCCAAATTTCAATCATGAGCACTTGTTGCTTTTGCAAACAAGAAAAAATATTTAAAATAATAAATGGGCCAGGCGCAGTGGCTCATGCCTGTAATCCTAGCACTTTGGGAGGCCGAGGTGGGCAGATCACGAGGTCAGGAGATCGAGACCATCCTGGCCAAAATAGTGAAACCCCATCTCTAATAAAAACACAAAAATTAGCCTGGGCATGATGGTGTGCGCCTGTAGTCCCAGCTACTTGGGAGGCTGAGGCAGGAGAATCACTTGAATCTGGGAGGTGAAGGTTGCAGTGAGCTGAGATAGTGCCACTGCACTCCAGCCTGGGCGACAGAGCAAGACTCTGTCTCACAAAATAATAATAATAATAATAATAATAATAATAATAATAATAAGTGAACGAATTACAGAACACGACTTACAACTATCAAAAAAAAGAGAATAGGTTGGAGGTAAAAAGAGGTCAATTCCCAAAACTTCTCATTGGATGATAAATCTAACAATAAATAAAACTTGCTTTGTGGACATCAGAATCTTATCGCCATACCCTAAAACAGGATAAGTCCGGTAATAAAGAATTTAGCTACCAACTGACCAAATTATAGCCTTCAGGTTTGAGGTAAAAAAGCTTACAATCCGAAATAAATTTTGAGAGGCTCTATTTTCAGTCATCAACAGGCAAAAATAATCTCCTAAAGCATCAGTAAGGGGCAAAAAAGTTGCTGTCAGTTAGCCTTGAAGACATTTTCATTACTTTGATTTAATGTTCTGAATTCCTGAAACTAAGTACCCTCTACTATAATAGCTTGGATCAAATTTAACATTCTAAACATTTCTGGTTTATAGCTACATCTGCTGGAAAAGCATGGAATGGGATTTAAGCTACACATACATGCTCCCAAGGTTATTTTAATTTCTGCAAATAACAATGAAATAAGGTATTTCTTTAGCTGTAATAAACATCCTTTGCAAATCATTATTAGATGTTTTATCTTAAGATAAATTTTTCAAACCAAAGAAAGTTTCAAACTTTGAACTTTAAATGAATATCAAAATTCCTTAATATCACATTTTAATATTCAAAATTAAAATCCATGCATTTTTATTCTCATTTATTGTGGGAGTTAAAAAATGATTATATGGCAGTAGAAAATGGAAAGACAGATAACAAAGGCTGAGAAGGGTGAATGGATGTGGAGGGATGAGGAAAAAAAGTGGGTCAAAGGGTATGAACATACAGTAAAATAGAAGAAATAAATTCAGTGTTTGATAGCAGAGCAGGGTGATTATAGTTAACAAAAATGTATTATAGGTGGGTGACGGACACCCTAAATACCCTGGCTTGATCACTATGCATTTTATACATATAACAAAATTTCTCATATACCCAATACATTTGTATAAATAAAAGAAAATCTTGTTTCAGCAAGGGAAAAAAAATAAATAAAATCTATTCAAAGTTTTTTTAACAATAAATAAATTTGTGCTCTAATTTCAAGAGAAAATTCTTTTCTTCTGATTTAGGCAAAAAAAAACTTACGAAAAGTTACCCCCAAATACTAGCATAAGTCCAATTTTAAGCAATTAAACCGCTTTTCTTTTGTATATTTTCTAAAATGGCCAGTTTACCTCGGATCACACCTTAATGTGGCATTGTCTCATCATGCCTCATCATGTCATTGATGCAAAATAATTACAAAAACAGATAAAGCAAATTTAAATCTTGAAACTACATATTCGTTAAAAAGTGTCTGCATTTGCCTTCAAGAACAGACAAGTAAGAATAAAAAAGAACTGATGCCTAAAAGCCAAGTCTTAGAAACGTAAAAGCAGAAATGGGGCCTGAGGATGAGACTCCAATTTACCCAGGATTCGTGGCAGCTCCTGCACAATGTGACAGATGAGAAGATCCAGGCATTTGGACAGGTATTCATTGCCACTTTGCTGCTCCTTGCCTGGAGTGGTCTTTCTGCTGTCTCTCTCGATGTACATCACCAGTCTACATACAGGAAAGTGCAAAGATTACCTCTCATGATAAAACACTTGATAGCATCTATCCAAAAATGCCGCCAAGGCAAGTGTTTCCAGAGGGCACCCTCCCAATCATATTGACGTTTAGATTTGTAGCAACTTGTCGGGCACAATTTTTGCCTCAGAAAACTCAAAACATCTATAAAGAAAGAAAATAAAGCAACTTCAGATCTCTCTGCTAATATCCTGATTCCATTTGCCTTGGCGAATGGAAACGAACAATATTCTCCAGGTGATAAATGAAAGACAAAGAGATGTCTGGACAGAAGAGGGCTCTTTATGTTTCAAAGGTTCAAAGTAAAGCCACAAGTTAACTGCATATTTGTTTATCATTAGTATTCAATTTGCTTGGGACCCTAGATAATTCACATGAATTTCAATTGTCTCATCCAAAGAAAATGTTTCATTTTAACACTGGGTTATACAGATGGCAGACAATATCTAAATATCTGGCTTTTACGTGTCTCTTTATCTACTAGTTTTATGATACCTGCCTTTTAAAGCTAACTTATTTCTTCTTTCAAACTACTGGCATTCTTTAAACATTCATTTCTGAACCAACCACTTCCAACCCGGAACTAGGGAGTCTACTGGACCATCACCTTAGACATTTAAGGTGTTACTACAAACTTTTAGGTCCTCTCCACATTTTCTCCCCTTTGCTGGACCTACTAGTCATTTTCTCAAGTTCCCATTCCCCCCAACTCCCTACAGGGCAACAAGTCCACTGATTTCACCATGCAAAAGGCCCTGTAAGGCAGTCTCCCTGGTTACCATCATCCATCTATCCATTTCTGTTATTCTCACCCATCCACCCAACTTTTACTTCTCAGGAAGAACTTCCAACCAATTTCCATTGTAAATTGGAGTTTTATACATAATATACATATATACATAAAATGTATTGAAATCTTGATACTTAGCATTTATGTGGCTCTCTCAATAGACTTATGCATGCATTTGCGTTTCCATGTATTACTATTTGCACCCCATCACGTGAGGATGAACCCAAATCAGGAAGTTAGCCTTGATTCTGTATCAGTTAGCATCTTCTGTTCTAGTCAACAATTATGTGGCTAGAGCCATAATCACTGTTCAACCTACTTGTTCTTCAATCACCTTCAATCTGGCTTTCTCTCTCATCACTATCTCTAAAGTCACATGACATCAAATCCAATGGGCCTTCATCTGCCTTCAACTACACAAGTCAACAGCATTCAATACTGTTGCCACTCCTGCCGTTCCTCTATCATAACCTCATCCTTTATTAGCTTTCTTCTCCAGTTTCTCTGGTTGTTCCTTCTCTGTGTCTTTTGCTGGTTCATGCTCTTAAATGCTGAAGTCTATCAAGACTGAGTTCTAGGCCCACAACTATCCTCTAACTGTTTAACACAGGCTATCTCATTCCTACCAATGATTTAAATTACCACTTATCTATACAGATATCTTCCAATTACATATCTGCAGCTCAAATACGGTATCTAAGTTATATGCCAATATATTCAACTGTTGACTTGACATCTGATTTTATCTGTCTTAAAGAGGTTCAAACTCTGTATATCCAAAATAAAAATCATCATCTCACCAAACCTGGTTGTCTTCCAGAGCACAATATCCTACTGTATAGTATCACTCTCTACCTTATTAAACAAACCAGAAAACTAGGAGAGTCATCCTTAACACCTCCTTTTCTCTCATTTCCCATATTAAGTCAATCACTAAATATTCTTCCAACTCTTTCACTTCTCCACTCCAAACCAATAGCAAGCTACCATATTTCCTTCTCCTGGACTATTACAATAGGCTTCTAGCTAACTAGTCCATCTGCTTCTACTCTGCCACTCTAATCCTTGCACACTCTACATCTAAACTAATCTTGTCCATCAGGTCACTCCCCTATTTAAAACCCTTCCATGGCATCTCATTGTTCTTCACATAGGAGTTCTTAAAACTCCCTATCATGAACTTCACGGCCTGACCCCCAATTACTTCTCCAGTTTCGTCTTGTTTTCTCTCCCTCCTGTCACACTGGGTTCTCTGTCTCTTAAATACAGTACCTCCCCATGCAACAAGCTACTGCCTCTGCCTAGATGGCCCTTCTCTTCCCTCTTTGCCAATAAATTCATATGCATATTTCATAACTCACTGTACTCTCCAATGATTTCCTTAAATTAAAGCCCTCTATGGTACTGTCTCATAGCATGGAAGGATTACCCAACTGCAATTTTAAAAGATATTTTTAATTATCTGATAATGTTTGTCACCCCAGTAAACTTAAAAATACCTAAGGGCAAGGACTATATCTGATTCTTCTCACCACACCCTTCCACTTCTGCGCACAGTTCTTAACTCTAATTAAGTGTTCAATACATATTAGCTGAATAAGTAAATATTGCTGTTGAAACTGCCATAAAGTTCTATCTAGTTCTCTACAGCAATTCCATCTCATTATTCCCAAGGCCCATTTCTTAATTCTGCTATTTAGTGTGTGCTTGCTTAAAATTTATACCGCATATAAAAAGCTAAAAAAATAAAAAACTTCCACCTAGAAAAAAATACCAGAAGCAAAAAGACCAACTGGAGAAAAATATTTCCATTCCAAATCACAAAATGTTAGTATTATATATGTACACACACACATGCATGTGCCCCCAGATAATAATTAGAAAAAGACTAACAAAAGAAGAGGAAAAAATGAGCAAGGACTAAGAGAAGGCAGTACACATAGAAGAAAATATAAATGGTTCAAGAAAAAGACATTCCATTTCGCTCCTAATAAAAGAAATATACATACAATGACATCTATTTTTACCTCATGGGGCCAACACTCAGAAAATTTGACAAGACTGCCATCAAGACTCTGAGGATACTGATACTCTAGTTCATTGCTGTTGGAAATGTAATCGAGTATAAATCCCAGGCAGAGTGAGCTGGCAATAATTTGAAAATTAATAATCTAGTAATTTCATCTCTAGGAACAAAGTATTCAATAGATATACCTGTACACATATGATATGACACATACACATAGTTTGCTATTTATAACATCAAAAAATTGGGGTAGGAAGTATTTAGCAAAAGGGAACTGGTTAAATAAAATATGGTACATAATTAGAATGCGGCTGTCAAAAAGAAGCAGCCCTTTATACACTACATGAAAAAGCTACAAGATATGTTTTTAAGAAAATAAGCAAAGTTCAAAATAGGGAACTTTCGCTTATAAAGGGAGGGAAATAATCCATATTCATATTTGCTTAGATTTTTAAAAAATCCAGAGGGATAAATAAGCTAATAAGGATGCTTAATTTTGCATGGTGGTAATCCAGGGTAATGGAAGCAGATGAGAAATTTTTCGCTTTGAATTTTTTTTTTTTTTTTTTTTTTTTTTTTTGGGTTTTGAACCATGAGTATGTGTTACCTACTCAAAGCTTTTAATGTAAATATATATATATATATATATATATATATATTTTTTTTTTTTTTTTTTTGAAACGGAATCTCACTCTGTCACCCCTGCTGGAGTGCATGCAGTGGCACAATCTCGGTTCAATGCAACCTCTGCCACACAGGTTCAAGTGATTCTCCTGCCTCAGCCTCCAGGGAAGCTGAGATTACAGGCACCTGCCACCACGCACAGCTAATTTTTGTATTTTTAGTGGAGACCGGGTTTCACCATCTTGGCCAGGCTGGTCTTCAACTTCTGACCTCGTGATCCACCCGCCTCAGCCTCCCAAAGTGCTGGGATTACAGGCGTGAGCCACCATGCCTGGCCAATGTTTTTAAACATTAAGTAATATTGTTGTCCTACAGAGCCTTTTTAAAAACATTTTCTAGGAGATATAATGCTCAATTTCCCAGGATACCCTACCAAATAGTAAATGCTGAGTGCAAGGCAAACAGACAGCCCGATTTGTAAGATTTATGCTTTCCCACAGTGTCAAGTGTCAGGCTGACTTTACAAAAGAAGTAAACCAACAGTACTCCAGCAGTACCCCAAAACTTAATTGTGGTTTGTGTCCATTACAATTCCTAGATTCTTTCTTTCAGCAGGGTCAAATCTTTTACCTTGACAATATTGAAACAAAGATGTCAACCAAATCTGGAAGCAATTCTCACCTGTTGCACTTTCAGACAGTGTGATCTTGTACAAATTAAACTCTTACAAACTTCAGTTTTCTAATTACAAAATGGGATAATGCCCGCCTTATAGGACTGCTGTGAGGATGTAAATGAATGCGGTAAATTCTCAGGAAACGGTAGCTGCTATCATCACCACCACCAAACTTGGGATACTGCTTTCTTGAGTACACAAATCTTAAGAGAAAATCCCTAGAGAAGGCTAACACTCTGTTTTTCATCCCACTCTCTGAATCATGAATCACCATGCTCAAAAGTCCTGCCCCACTTCCCCTGCATTTTGAAGAACTGCCTCAACTTATTAAAATGAAAGACAGACCGGGCGCAGTGGCTCACACCTGTAATCCCAGCACTTTGGGAGGCCATGGCGGGTGGATCACCTGAGGTCAGGAGTTCGAGACCAGCCTGACCAACATGGAGAAACCCCGTCTCCACCAAAAAAATACAAAAATTAGCCAGGCGTGGTGGCACATGCCTGTAATCCCAGCTACCCGGGAGGCTGAGGCAGGAGAATCTCTTGAACCTGGGAGGCAGAGGTTGCAATAAGCCGAGATGGCACCACTGCACTCCAGCCTGGGCAATAAGAGTGAAACTCCATCTCAAAAAATTAATTAATTAAAATTAAATTAAAATAAAATGAAAGAGAGCCTGACATCTCTTCAGAGATTAGAATTTGATGCCATTAAAATTGTTCTACTCCTTTTGATATAGGAAGAATAGAAACATTTTCTTTAAGGAAATAGTTTTGTCTTCATTAAACATGCAGAATATATAACCGTTTATTTAACCCATCATCCTACTAAAAGACATGAGGGGTGCTTTCAGCTTTTCTTCTCAAAAAGCAATGCTTGAGAGACACTGTTGCATCTGTCTCCTGGTACACATGTGCAAGAGTTGCTAGGGTACATGTATAGGAATGGAAACTCAAATATTCAACTTCACGACACTGCCAAACTGGTTCCCAAAGTGGTTGTCCCAATTTATTCCCACCAGTAGTGTATGCGTTCCCTCTGAGTTACAACCTCACCAATACCTACTGGTATCAGATTTAATTTCTACCCATCTATTTATGGGGTTTAAAGTGGTACCTTTAGTCTTAATTTGAATTTTCATAATTATTAATGACAGAATATTTTGGTATTTATTTGCTGTTCATAATTCCTCTTTTCTCAGGAAAATGAAGGGAAAAGAGGAATTATGAACAGTAAGTGCCTGAAAATGTCTGTTTCTGAAATGCCTGTTCAGGTCTTTTGCTCATTCTCCCATTGGGTTGTTGATCTTTTGTTATTGATTTGGAGGCATTAATTATATGGTCTGGATCTTTTATCTTCTTCCTCTTTGTCCCCTTCTTTATCCTCTTTCTTCCTTCTTGTTTCTCCTCCTCCTCTTGTCTTTCACATTGAAGTCCTCAATCCACTAGAAATTGACTGATCATGTGGGTTGAGGTGGGAATCTAATTTCATTGTTTTTCCAAGTGGACGAGCACTTGTCTGGTACTATTTATTGAAAAGGTACTTCTAAAACCAACAGTGAGGAAAGAGGGGTAAAAGATCAAATATTTGGCAAAATCTGATTAAAAAGCAGTTTGAACCTTACATTACCTCCTCTGGCCAATATATGTAGGTAACTGCCACTAGGCTTGCACTCAGGCAAAAGTTTAAACATTTATTCTCTAGAGAAAATAAAAACCATCTGGACTGAGAAATAGCAGACCAAGATTAAGAGAGGACTACCAAACTGCAAACAGGGGACTAAGTAAATTTATGCACAGTAAATACTGAAACTTCATCTCCCTTAGCCCAGTGGGCGCCTGGGACTCTGGTAGCCCAGTCGTTTCCTTCCGAGCATGTGACTGGAACACTCTGCATGTGCTCTTCTTTGGCAAAACTAAATAGCCCAAGAGAAATAGCCAGAGACATTCATGCTAAAGTTCACATTAAAAATGCCTGTACAGATGATCTTAATGTAAAGCTCAAAGTCAAAATTCACCAACACACTGAGAACTTCTAAAATAGGCTGTCATTCCCTCAACTCTTAATCATAAGGAGATCAAACATTACCAAATAGCTGAAAGCCTGACTTATCTGTTCTACATTTATGTCTGCTGGTATTCATCCACATTCTTTTTCATTGCTGTGTAGTGTTCCGGTATGTGAATATACCATAATTTACTTACTCGTTTTGTTGTGGATGAACATTTGGGCTATTTCAATTAATGAATAGGGCTAAGCATAACTTATGCTGGATGCACATAAACATTTCTATTGGATATATCTGTATCCTTGGAAGTAAATTTGCTGGGTCACAAAGCATGCCTCGATTCAGTTTCATAGACACTGATGATCAGTTTTCTAAAGTGATCATTATGTCAATTTATACTCCAACAGGTAGATATAAGAATTCCAGTTTTTCAGCCAGGCGCGGTGGCTCACATCTGTAATCCCAGCACTTTGGGAGGCCGAGGCGGGTGGATCATGAGGTCAGGAGATCGAGACCATCCTGGCTAACACAGTGAAACCCGTCTCTACTAAAAATACAAAAAATTAGCCGGGCGTGGTGGCAGGCGCCTGTAGTCCCAGCTACTCGGGAGGCTGAGGCAGGAGAATGGCGTGAACCCGGGAGGCAGAGCTTGCAGTGAGCCAAGATTGCACCACTGCACGCCAGCCTGGGCGACAGAGTGAGACTCTGTCTCAAAACAAAACAAAAAAAAAATTCCAGTTTTTCTATATCTTTGCCAAAACCCTACATTATCAGGCTTTTTAATCACAGCCATTCTAGTGGGTATATGTTGGTAACTCATTGTGATTAAACTAAATTTTCCTGATGACTAATTAGGTTAAGCATCTTTTCAGGTGTTAATTGACCATCTGGAGATAACCAGTTTTGTAAACTGTTTGTCCAAGTCTTGTGCTCATTTTTCTATTGGGTTATCTGTCCTCTTTTCCTTGATGAAGTAAGTCTGTACATATTTCTGTTAAGAGACCACTGTTGATTATATATGTTGATTATGAATGTCTCTTACTCTGTGGCTTACCTTTTTACTCTTTTAATGTCTTTGAATGAACCATAATTTTAAGGTAGCCTAATTTATCAATATTTTCCTTTCTGACAATGCTTTTGTGTTCTGTTAAAAAAAATTTCAGTCTACACAAAAGTCATGAAGATATTTTCATATGCTATCTACCAGAAGCTTTACTGCTTTACCTTTACAAATTTAAACAGAAAATCATAAAATCTACCTGTATTGATCTTTGGTACAGTACAGCTTAGGAGTAAAAGTTTTTATTTCTTTCCTATATTGATATCTAAATTATCTATTATCGTTTATTATAAAACCCACAATTTTCTGTTTTCCTCTATATCTCTCCCACTATTCTTCATGTCTTCTATACTTTTGTCTCTCTACACTGATCTCAGACTTCTCCCAGATAGCATTTCTCTGCTTCAGAGAGTCTAATCTGTTAGCCAAATCCACTGACTTGTTACTTTCAATTATTGTATTTTTCAGTTCTAGAATATCCATTTGGGTTTTTTTAATAGTTCTAGTTCTCCACTGAAACCCTTAATCTTTCAAATTCCTTGACTATATTAATCACAGTTATTTTAAAGTCTGTATCTGATAACTCTATTGTCTGTATTCCCTATGGATACTGTCTCTCTTGTTGATTTTATTGCTTTTATTCATATCATCTTGTCTCCTCATAGGCCTGACTACTTTCTATTGAGTATTAGACTCTATACCTGAAAACTACGGAGATACTCTGAGGCCTAGGGTTACGGTTAAACTTCTTCAGACAGGATTTGCATTTGCTTCTGGAAGGCAGCTAAAACACCAAACAATCTAGATCATCTTAATCCAAACAGAGACTGAGATGATTCAAAAATGAGCTTCTCTCCCTGTTTTGGGAAATCCTCTATATCAGTAACAGCTACCCCAGAAACAGAAAACAGAGAAAATAGAAATGGTTATCTTTTGGCAGTCAAGGAATCCAAATGAAATCCTCTCCAAATTTACAGAGTATAAAAAAAGCAAATTCACACTTGTCTATAAGGAATAAATTTTTCTCTAAAGTTTAAATTATCCATTATAAAATTTGATAATGTGTTGCTTAACTACCATGGTTTGAAATATCTTTCACTTAAGGCAAAAAACTATTCAAATCATTTTCAAACACTAGTACAGACTGTTAATACATAAGAAAATATCCATTACATCTGCTGGGAGAAATAAAAAACTAATGGGATCCATAACAGTTTAAAACTAACTCTAGAATGATGCTCCATTTCTTCATGCTCTCCCCAATGCCTCCCCATTACAAGATGTGTTTTCACAGCTACAGTAGAATAAACTGACTTTACTGACAAGAGAACATTATTTTCTAAAAGAATTCACATCTATAAAGGAGACAAAATGTGGAAACATTTGAGCATAGTGTCCCACAAATACTTCACAAGCGTTCTACGAAAAGCAGCAAATGATATTTCTCAGTGTTCTACAAGGGTATATCAAGTTAAAAAGATAACACACTGAAAAGAAATCCAAATAAACTGCAAATAAACAAGGTCAGATCAATTCTCCTTTGTGTCCCTTACTAATTTTTTTGAGACAGAGTCTTACTCCATCACCCAGGCTGGAATGCAGTGGCATGATCTCAGCTCACTGCAACCTCCGCCTCCTGGGTTCAAGTGATTCTCCTGGATCACCTTGTAGCTCTGATTACAAGTATGCGCCACCACGCCAGGCTAATTTTTGTATTTTTGTTTTGTTTATTTGTTTCATTTAATTTTTATATTTTTAATAGAAATGGGGTTTCACCATGTTGGCCAGGCTGATCTTGAACTCCTGACCTAAAATGATCTGCCCACTTCTGCCTCCCAAAGTGCTGGGATTACAGGCATGAGTCACTGTGCCTAGCCAACTATCTTTAACAGTATTATTTCTCCCCAGGACATACCCATTTCCCAAACTACTGTCACTCAAACCCCTGCATTTCTCTCCATTTATCTCTCTGATTCATTCCCTCTAATCTGACCACAATTTTCTTACTCTCATCACCACAGGAATCCTATGCGCATTGCACACACATCCACCTTTACGTAACTCTGATCGGCCTTCTATTAAGACCTCCTGCTATACCTCTGTGATTCTAAGGCCAAACTCAGCAAGTCCTATGCCTAATATCTACACCAGTACAATGTCTACAGCAAAATGAGTTCAATGAGTACAAGGATGATGACATCAGTTTATTCATTCAATAACTATTTACCGTGTCTACTATGTGCTAAGTATTTTTCTAGTTGATGTAGATACAACCTATGGAGTGTATATTCAAGTCCAATGAAACAGACAGCAAACAAGCAACCAGAAAATAGCTTAGGTGGTGACAAGTACTATGGAGAAAATTAAAGAGTAAGAAAACTAGTCACTTGCCAGAGAAAACCTCTCGACAGGATGTCATTGAAGCAGAGACCAGAAGGGGTAAAGCAAGCGTGCAATGTGGACAAAACATTCCAGAAAACTGTTAAGCCACATGCAACATCCCAAAGGCAAACACATGCTTGCTGTGTACTTGTGTAGCTACAGCACAGTGTAAGAAAAGATCAGAGAGGTAACCAGGCTCCAAACCATGTAAGGGATTGTATGCCATGGTAAGAAGCTTGAACTTTACTCTCAAGGAGAAAGAGTGGCATGATCTGACATGTGGTTAAAAAAAAACAGCATTCTGGATCCTGTGAGGAAGACAGACTATGGAAATGTAAAAAGGAAGACCAGCTGAGAAGCAACTGTAACAATTTGGATGAGAAGTCATGGTGGCTTTGGTTAGTGTGGTAATGAAGAAATGGTGTTAATTGATGAGATTATGGATATTTTTTCAAGGTACAAATAATTAGATTTGCTGTTGATTGGATAGGAGAGGTGAAAAAGAGAAGTCAAGAATAATTCCATGCAACTAAGCAGCTGGAATAACAGAGCCACCATTTACTAATATAGGTAAAGACTGCCAGAATAGCAAGTCTGGAGCAGAAAAATCTTTATCAGACATTAACGTTTCGGTAGCACATGGAGAGTTGGTATGTGAGTGTGAGTTCAGAGAAAAGGTTTAGGCTGATGACATTAATCTGAGAGTAGGCCATGCATGGATGGTATTTAAGGCAATTGTCTTGGTCCATCTGTGTCACTATAAAGCAATGCCTGGGGATGGGTAATTTATAAAGAAAACAATGTGTATTTGGCTCATGATTCTGATTTCTGTAGAAGTTCAAGATTGGGCAGCTGCATCTGGCAAGGATCACAGGTTGCTTCCACTTATGGTGGAAGGCAAAGGGGTGCCAGGGTGTGCAGAGATCACATTGAAAGAGAGGAAGCAAGAGAGGGGGTAGGTACAAGGCTCTTTTTAATAACCAGCTCTGGTGAGAACTAATGGAGCAAGGACAGCTCCAAGCCATTCATGAGGGATCCATCCTCATGAGCCAAGCACCTGCCAGAAGCACCACCTCCAACAACGCAGATCAAATTTGGAGGCCTAAGGGACAAACATCCAAACTCTAGAAGCCATTAGATTAAATGAGATCACTCCAAGGACTGAGTCATGGAACTACTACAAAGGCTGAGATTATGAGAGAGGAAACTGAGGAAGAGTGACTACTGAAGGGTGAAGAAAACCCAAAAAAACTGCCCTGGGTGTCAAGTAAGAAAGTACTTCAAGAAGGAAACAGTAGACTTCTAGTTTCTGGTAAATGTGAATTAGGTTATTCAGACAAACATTTCTATTATAAATAAAACAAAAATGAAAAGATATATATATATCTCCACAACATATATGTATACACATATATAATGTATATCCACTTGATATATAATCACAGCAAACTATATGGCTTATAAACAAACACACAATGCCTATGATGACTGTCTGATGTTAAATAAGAACTTGTAGTTTTACACTGATGTCACCAAGATGGCTGACTGAAGGTGCCTGATACTCATGACCCCAACTCCTACAAAAAAAGACCAAAACAATGAATAAATAACTCCATTTTGACTAGAGTATCTGAAGGAGAACGCTGAAGTACAGCAGGGGAGTGGCAGAGACACCATGGAACATGAAGACTCAGGATGACTATATTGAGAAGGAATCCAAATACTCTGCTCTCTGCCACCCTGTCTCCCCAATTGGGATCAACTCGGAATCATGAGGAAATTCCCCCTACAAGAAAAAGGTAAAGCAAGGAGCCCCCAGTAGCTCCCACGAATGTCATGAAAACCTGCAGTTTTCGTTGCTGAAGAATCTCGCACTCCTCACGGGCCAATTGCAGTTCAGGAAGCTACCAGGAGTTCACGTGGCTGCACTGTGCCAGAGAAGAAGCCGACATTGTGTCCTATTTTCCCCCTGACCCAAGCTGCTACTGCATAATGCCATCTTGACACTGGAGCCACTGCTAGAGCGTGTCCTTCCCTGGGACCCAATAGCCACTGTATCTCCCCACCCCAAAGGCTCCACAATACTCAACAGTCCTGCAGCCCCTTGGAGCAAATAGGCCTGCCAACCTGCTCCCAAAGGAACAAGGCCTGATTCATCAAGTTCCATTCCCTCTTGGCATGGCATGAGAGACAGCTTGTTACTTTCAACTCCGGAGGTGAGGAGCAGCTGAGCTGCCAGTCAACCAGCCCTGCACTCCCTTGATGTAGTGCATGAGACAGCCTGCCACCCTGCCCTCAGGGAAGCAGCCCAAGCTGGCAGAACAGTTGCACAAACTTCTGCAGCCCAAGCCACTGAAGTACTCACAGGCATTGTTAATACTGACTATAGCTGAAACAACGGCACAAAGTCTACACTACTGCACCTACTCAACACCAAAGCCAACAAACCCAACACAACCAATGTCATAGGACAGATTTTCAAAATTATATTAAGTATCTTTTCTGACTATAATGAAATAAAACTAAAAATCAGTAACAGGAGAAACTCTGGAAGCTATACAAATACATGGATATTAAACAATATACTTTTGAACAACAGAAGGGTCAAGGAAAAATTTTTTTAATTTAAAAATTCTCTGATACAAATAAAAATGGAAACACAATATACTAAAAGCTATGGGATACAACAAAAGCACTTCTAAGAGGGAAGTTTATAGCAATAAATGCCCGCATCAAAAAATAAGAAAGATCTCAAAGAACCAAACATTATACTTCAAGGAACTAGAAAAACAACAAGAAACTAAACCCAACATTAGTAGAAGGAAAGAAGTAACATAAGTCAGAGCAGAAATAAATGAAATGGAGACTTTTTAAAAGACAAAAGGTCAGCAAAATAGAGTTCGTTCTTTGAAAATATAACAAACCTTTAGGTAGACTAAGAAAAAAGAGAAGATTCAAATAAATAAACTCAGAGATAAAAAGTAGATATTACAATGTATGTCACAGACTAAAAAGAATCATAAGACTATTATGAACAACTATACACCAAAAAGTTGAAAAATCTATCAAAAATGGACAAATGCCTGGATACACGCAGTCTATCAAAATTGAATCATGAAGAAATAAAAAGTCTGAAGAGACCAATAATGAGTAATAAGACTGAATCGATAATAAAGTCTCCCATCAAAGAAAAGCCCAGAGCCTGATGGCTTCACTGCTGAATACTGTCAAACATTTAAAGAACTAACAGTAATCCTTTTCAAAGTACTCCAAAAAATTGAAGACAAAGAAGTCTTTCAAACTCATTCTACGGTATCACTTTAATCTGAAAACCAGAGAAGGAAATTACAGGCCAATATCCTTGATGAAAAACCATTCACCATAATCAAGTGTAATTCATCCCAGGGATGCAAGGATGGTTCAACATATGCAAATCAATAAATGTGATCCATCACATTAAGAAAATCAAGAACAAAAACCATATGATTTCAATACATGCAGGGAAAAAACTTGATAAAAGTCAACATCCTTCAAAATAAAAACTCTCCACAAATTAGGCATAGAAGGAATGTTTGTACCTCAACCCAATAATGGCCATATATGACAAACCCATGGCTAAATGTAATACCTGAATAGGAAAAAAAATAAATGGAAAGCTTTTCCTCTAAATTTAGAACAAGACAAGGATACTCACTTTCATCACTTTTATTCAATGTAGGCAAGAGAAAGAAAGGGCATCCAAACTGGAAAAAAAAATAAGAAAAAAAAAGGGACTCCAATTGTTCCTGCTTGCGAATGGCATAATCTTGAAGCTATAGAAAATCCTAAAGGCTCCACCAAAAAACTCTTACAAATATTAAGTGAATTCAGTAAAGCATTTCTATATATCAATAGCAAACTATCTGAAAAAAATCAAGAAAGCAATACCATTTATAAGTTATAAAAAAAATTCTCTTAATATGTTTAGTCAAGGAGGTGAAAGCCCTCTACAAGAAAAACTATGTAACAGTGATGAAGAAATTAAACAGGACACAAGTAAATGGAAAGATACTCCATGTTCATGGATTAGAAAAATTGATATTGTTAAGACATCTATACTACCTAAAGTGATCTACAGATTAAATGCAATTCTTATCAAATTACCAATGACATTCTTCACAGAAACAGAAAAAAAATTCTAAATTTTTTTTTAAAAACCCCAAAGAGCCAAATCAATTTTGGGGGAAAAAAAAAAAAAAAGAACAAAAGCTGGTGGCATCAGACTACCAGACTTAAAAATGCACTACAAAGTTTTGATAACCAAAACAGCATGGAACTAGCATAAAAACAGACACACAGACCAATGACACACAATGGAGAACACAAAAGTAAATCCACACAATTATAGCCAGCTGATTTTCAACAAAGATACCAAGAACACACTTGGGGAGATGGCAATCTCTTCAATAAACGAAGTTGGGAAAACTGGATATCCACATGCAGAAGAGTGTAGCTAGACCCCCTCACTCTCACCGTATACAAAAATCAAGTCAAAATGGACTGAAGACTTAAATTTAAGATCTGAAACTAGGAAACTGCTAGAAGAATACATAGGGAAACTGCTTCATTAGTCTGGTCCATGATTTTTTGGGTAAGAACTCAAAAGCGCAGGCAACAAAAGTGAAAACAGACAAATGAGATTGCATCAAACTAAAAAGCTTCTGCACAACAAAGGAAACAAGGGTGAACAGACAGGCTACAGAATGGGAGAAAATATTCTCAATCCATGCATCTGACAAGAGGTTAATATCCAGAATATATAAAGAATTCAACTCAATAGCAAAAGAAAAAAAAATCTGCTAAGAAATGAGCAAATGAATAGACATTTCTCAAAAGACATACAAATGGCCAACAGGTATATTTAAAAATGCTCAACAACATCACCAATCATCAGGGAAATGCAAACTAAAACCACAATGAGGTATCACCTCACCCCAGTTAGAGTGGCTATTAACAAAAATAATAATAATAATAATGACAAATATTGGCATAGATGTGAAGAAAGGGGAGTTCTTATATACTGTTAGAGGGAAGGTAAATTAGTATGGCCATTATGAAAAACAGTATGGGGGTACTCAAAAATTAAAAATAGAACTACCATATAATCAAGCAATCCCACTATTGGGTATTTATCCAAAGAAAAATAATTCAATATATCAAAGGAATACATGCACTCCCATGTTTACTGCAGCACTGTTCACAATAAGCAAAGATACGGAATCAACCTACGTGTCCATCAATGAATGGATAAAGAAAATAAAGAAAATGTGGTAAGTATACACAATAATAATATTCAACCATAAAAAGAATGAAATCTTGTCATTTGCAATAACATGAATAGAACTGGAGGGCATTACGTTAAGTGAAATAATCCAGGCATGATCTCGCTCATATGTGGAATCTCAAAAAGCTGATCTAATAGAAATAGAGAAGAGAATATTGGTAACCACATTCTGGGGAGGCTAAGGGCAGGGAGAGGGGGAGGACAGGGAAAGTTTGTACAAAATTACAGTTCGATAGGGAAAATAAGTTATCGTGTTCTATTGCACAGTAAGGTGACTATTACAATATTGTATTATATATTTCAGCATCTCAAAATAACCAGAAGAGAGGATTTTTAATGTTCTCACCACAAGAAAATAATAAACGTTTGCAGTGATATGCTATATACCCTAATTTGATCATTACACAGTGTATACACATACCTAAACATCACAGTGTACCCCATAAATATGTACAATTATTATGTGTCAAGTAAAAATAAAACAAAAGAACTACTCTTGGTTTAGATAAAATTTGCAGTGACTGCATCACACACAAGCAGAAAAGGTGTTGTCTCTGAAACCATTTAAATGGAAGAGGAGATGATCTAGTTTGGAATACTGTGTCAGATGATGCAGGAGAAACTCAAGGAACTGATGTTCAACATGCTGTGGTGACACTTCAATAAAGCAGTTTAAAAAGAGGTGTTGAATACATTTATTTTACAAAATGCAAGAATGCAGACTTCCAAACCAGTACATTATCTTATATACATACTTAAAAATAAATGTGTAACTATAATAATAAATTAAATATTTATAAAAAGAGGTAAACAGTCATCTATTTCATCAAATTCATTTAAAAGTTTATATAATTACCATGTTTTCTCCCAAAAAGACTTTTTTAGACATTCCATTGAAAAATTAGACTTTCATATAATCAAGATTGCCTTGAATTCAACTAAACACATGATTTTTTTTTTTTTTTTTTTTTTTTTTTTAGACAGAGTCTCATCCTGTCTCCCAGGCTGGAGTGCAGTGGCGCAATCTCACCTCACTGTAACCTCCACCTCCCGGGTTCAAGCAATTCCCCTGCCTCAGCCTCCCAAGTAGCTGTGATTACAGGCACCTGCCACCACGCCCAGCTAATTTTTTTGTATTTTTAGTTGAGACGGGGTTTCACCATGTTGGTCAGGCTGGTCTCAAACTCCTGACCTTAGGTGATCCACCTGCCTTGGCCTCCCAAAGTGCTTAGGATTACAGGCATGAGCCACTGCGCCCAGCTAGATGTTTTCATCAAATTGTTCCAGCTTTTGTGTGGAAAACATATTACTGGGGTGGGGGGAGCTGAACAACTAGAAGCAGGAAGATCAGTTAGGAGACCAGTGTCAGAGCAAATAAGAGATGCTATTGGCTTGGTTGGGGCAGTCTAGACGGAAAGTAGGTAAGCAGGGGACCATCTTTTTGGAGGAAGAGTCAATATGACTTGTTTATTAATTGAATGAATAAGAAAAAAATATGGGTTACTCAGAAGTTTGGGTTTGAGTAACTGCATATAGTGTTACTGAATGTATTTGACTATTACTGAGTAACTGGATCAAGTGCTACTGAATGTTTCTGACTCCCAGTCTGGGAGATGGGAGAGTTAGAAAGCATATTTGATTTGTATACGTTAAATTTAAAACTCCTCTTGTGTATGCAATTGAATACGTTAAGATAATATAAGCCTGAAGTGGAGAAAAGTTCATCTAAGTGTATATCAGCACATAGGTAGTGTTTGAAGCCACAGGATTAGATGAAATCACCTAAGGACAGTGATGAAAGAGAAAAAAAAGAAGGCTCAGCAAATGAAACAGAAAAGTGGAAACCAACAAAGAAGAGACTGAGGTGGGAAGAAAGCAAGGAATGTAGATTAAGCCCCTATTATGAGCCCTAAAACTACAAAGATAAACTCCAGTTTAAATTCCCAAGTTGCACTGAAGCATTTTACTTCCCTTTTTCACATAGTCCCACTGGAAAGTCACATTAGCCCTAAAAACAGGAAATTGTACCATTCACAGTCAGAACCTTCAAAAACCTCTTAACAGTGATGGTACAGATTAAATGGATTGACAGAGGGCCCAAGAACACAAAAAGGAAAACGCTGACCAGTGAGTAGGCAGAACCTCGGCAGCACCTCAAGCCTTAAATGGCAAGGGAACAAGACAAGTTTTGGCTTTAGTGCTGATGGGACGACATGAGGTTTTCTCAACCCTGTGAACAAAGGAATTGGGTGCCAGAAAACCTGGCACAAAGGTCATGCTAACTACAAAGAGAGGGATCGCAGGGAGACTGAAGGAAGGAAATTGTTTAAAGGAAAGAAATGATTTGATGAAAGTGGCATTTGGGGAATATTAATCAGATAGCGGATAAGCTAATGAATGCGAAAAGGAAGACAAGCAGGCAATTAGGAGTTACAAGTGTACAGGTGAAGAGGAGAAACAGAAACATGAGAGAGAAGAACTGACTGCCTGGAAATGGTATGAGTAGAAGAAAAGATTCCAGTAGTATATTATGGACAGAATGGCCCATTTATATTGTGTAAAGTCAGTTATATAGGTTTTAAAAATAAAGAATTCACACTCCTTGCTTTTTAACTTAATTCAGGCTTCTCCTTAAAGATGCCATCATCCCAATTCCCCTGGGTCACCCTTATTCCCTTCGAGTTCTACCGAGCTCTATGTGCCCATCAGTGAGCTACTCCACTGCCTATTTCTACTTCAGATATTCTCATGTGCAGTATATTACTGGAATAACATGTAAATTGTAGATATCCATTCCATTTGAATTCATTCTGGACAATATCACAAGTGGTTCCTTGCTGAGGGTATATGCTATTTACAGAGAGTCAAAACACTACAGTTTTCTCCTTGCTTCACTCCACTCTAAGTCCATTTTATTATTATTATTATTATTATTATTATACTTTAAGTTTTAGGGTACATGTGCACAATGTGCAGGTTTGTTACATATGTATACATATGTCATGTTGGTGTGCTGCACCCATTAACTGGTCATTAGGTATATCCCCTAATGCTATCCCTCCCCCCTCCCCCCACCCCACAACAGTCCCCAGAGTGTGATGTTCCCCTTCCTGTGTCCATGTGTTCTCATTGTTCAATTCCCACCTATGAGTGAGAATATGCGGTGTTTGGTTTTTTGTCCTTGCGATAGTTTGCTGAGAATGATGGTTTCCAGCTTCATCCATGTCCCTACAAAGGACATGAACTCATCATTTTTTATGGCTGTATAGTATTCCATGGTGTATATGTGCCACATTTTCTTAATCCAGTCTATCATTGTTGGACATTTGGGTTGGTTTCAAGTCTTTGCTATTGTGAATAATGCCACAATAAACATACGTGTGCATGTGTCTTTATAGCAGCATGATTTATAATCCTTTGGGTATATACCCAGTAATGGGATGGCTGGGTCAAATGGTATTTCTAGTTCTAGATCACTGAGGAATCGCCACACTGACTTCCACAATGGTTGAACTAGTTTACAGTCCCACCAACAGTGTAAAAGTGTTCCTATTTCTCCACATCCTCTCCAGCACCTGTTGTTCCCTGACTTTTTAATGATTGCCATTCTAACTGGTGTGAGATGGTATCTCACTGCGGTTTTGATTTGCATTTCTCTGATGGCCAGTGATGATGAGCATTTTTTCATGTGTGTTTTGGCTGCATAAATGTCTTCTTTTGAGAAGTGTCTGTTCATATCCTTCGCCCACTTTGTGATGGGGTTGTTTGGTTTTTCCTTGTAAACTTGTTTGAGTTCATTGTAGATTCTGGATATTAGCCCTTTGTCAGATGAGTAGGTTGCAAAAATTTTCTCCCATTCTGTAGGTTGCCTGTTCACTCTGATGGTAGTTTCTTTTGCTGTGCAGAAGCTCTTTAGTTTAATTAGATCCCATTTGTCAATTTTGTCTTTTGTTGCCATTGCTTTTGGTGTTTTAGACATGAAGTCCTTGCCCATGCCTATGTCCTGAATGGTATTGCCTAGGTTTTCTTCTAGGGTTTTTATGGTTTTAGGTCTAACGTTTAAGTCTTTAATCCATCTTGAATTAATTTTTGTCTAAGGTGTAAGGAAGGGATCCAGTTTCAGCTTTCTACATATGGCTAGCCAGTTTTCCCAGCACCATTTATTAAATGGGGAATCCTTTCCCCATTGCTTGTGTTTGTCAGGTTTGTCAAAGATCAGATAGTTGTAGATATGTGGCATTATTTCTGAGGGCTCTGTTCTGTTCCATTGGTCTACATCTCTGTTTTGGTACCAGTACCATGCTGTTTTGGTTACTGTAGCCTTGTAGTATAGTTTGAAGTCAGGTAGTGTGATGCCTCCAGCTTAAGCTGATAAGAAACTTCAGCAAAGTCTCAGGATACAAAATCAATGTGCAAAAATCACAAGCATTCTTATACACCAATAACAGACAAACAGAGAGCCAAATCATGAGTGAACTCCCATTCACAACTGCTTCAAAGAGAATAAAATACTTAGGAATCCAACTTACAAGGGATGTCAAGGATCTCTTCAAGGAGAACTACAAACCACTGCTCAATGAAATTAAAGAGGATACAAACAAATGGAAGAACATTCCATGCTCATGGGTAGGAAGAATCAATATCATGAAAATGGCCATACTGCCCAAGGTAATTTATAGATTCAATGCCATCCCCATCAAGCCACAAATGACTTTCTTCACAGAACTGGAAAAAACGACTTTCAAGTTCATATGGAACCAAAAAAGAGCCCGCATTGCCAAGTCAATCCTAAGCCAAAAGAACAAAGCTGGAGGCATCACGCTATCTAAGTCCATTTTTATCTGTTTAATGCACATCCTTTAATTTATAACTGTTGTTTTCCCCCATGCAGAAACAATTTGTACTTTAAATATGGAATGAATTTTTCCTCTTCTCCATCTCCCTGCCAGAATCCTCAGCAAACTCATCGTCCAATTCAATGCCTCTGTTTGTAATTAAAGCTATTATCTCTCAGCTTATGATGGCCGGATGATAAATAAGTTTGGGCCCAAATTCAAATTACAGTGACCCCAGCACATCTATAGACCTACTCTGTAATTATTCTTCGTTTCCTAAATATGTAACTCGAATAGACCACTTAGCAACTAGCAGAATCCATACTTTGGCTATCTGATCTGTGGAGGTAGGCTAGTATGGTAAGAAGAGACAAATGAAAATCTGGTACATCCCCTCTCTAGTAAGCCATATGAACATAAAACCAAATCATAAAAATTAGTATCAAGAGCAAAAACTTAAAATATGTAGGGGTGATAATATCTATCATTCCCATTTAAACTATTTGTTCAACAGAACAGATTATACTGGAAAAAATTAAAAATAGTCTATTTGGCCTATGCAACATCTTAGAATATGACTGTAGTGGATCTTGAAGAATGACAGCAGATCATCCAAAATGTAAATATGTGACTCCTGTTGCAGCTGCAATTTAAGATGTAATATTTCTACTGGAGCAAATCATCATAGCCCTGGCATGTTGGGTGCTATTGACTTGGCAAAGGTTTTTTTTCTCCGTTTCAATTTAGAAGAACCACCAGCATGTGTTTGCTGTTGCTCATCAGGGCAAACAGTTCATGTTCACTGCCTTGCCTCAAAGCCATGCTAACTCTGCTACCATTGGCCCTAAAACACTCTGCAAAGATCTGGGA
This sequence comes from Homo sapiens, assembly GCF_000001405.40. Taxonomy (NCBI): domain Eukaryota; kingdom Metazoa; phylum Chordata; class Mammalia; order Primates; family Hominidae; genus Homo; species Homo sapiens. Next base: position 41,738,481 of record NC_000003.12, read on the forward strand.
CATCTTGACATCCCACCAAACATCCCATGTGTACACTATTTTGATGACATTAAGCTGGTTGGACCTCAGGAAATATCAGCAGTGAGTACTTTTTAGTTGGCTTAGTAAGATACATGAGAGAGCAATAAACTCCAGAAAAATTCAGGGGGCTACCACTTCAGTCAGTTTTCTGCAGCTCCGAGGTCTACAGCAGGTTGGGACATCCCTCCAGGTCAAAAACAAGTTATTGCACCTTCTGTTGACTGTAACCAAAAAAAGAGGCACAATGTTTGGTGGGTTTTTGTGAATTAAGAGGTAAAACATACCACCTTTGAATGTGTGCCTCTCATTATCTGAAGAATTCACAAACTTATTAGTTTTGAATGGAGCTGAAGTAAGTAAAGGCTCTGCAGCAATTCTACAAGCTGCTGGGCCACTCAGGCCTTATGACCTAGCATATCTAGTACTACTTGAACCCCTACAGCAAATGGAGCCCCAGGGAAGCATCAATAAGTGAATCACAATACACATCTGTGCAGCTTAAGAGCAAAGTCACATTCTCACATGTGGATTACTATTCTCCTTTTGATAAACAGCTCCTGATAGAGAATAAACATTACGATTGAAACCAAATGATCACATGATATGAGTTACTTATCGTTAATCTGGGTCACCAAGCCACTACGTTAAGTATGCAAAGCAGTAAACCATCATCAAATGAGTCAATCAATATAAGAGACTGAGTTTCAACATGTCAAAAAATATAGCAGTAAATTGCATGAACAGTGGCTTAGATTCCTTCAACACATACTCCTCTGTGTGGCCTTCTCTCACTTAATCCTGATTAAGAATTGTTTATGACCAGCTAATTGGCAAAGAAAAGCACTGAATCTGGTTAGTGAATGGTTCAGTACAAGATGCTGGCACCAAATGAAAGTGGACTGCTGCATTACAAGCCTAATCAGAAGTGTCCCTGGAAAGAACATCCTCCCAGTGAGCAGAGCTTCAAATAATACATTGTGTTGCACCCTATGTTTAAACTGAGATGCAACTCATATATATGCTGATTCATGGGCACTGGGGCTTACAGCTTAGTAGGATGGTCAGGAACTCAGAAAACTGAGGAATTTGAAAACTGGTGACAAGAAGTTCTGAGAAAGTACATGGGTAGGCTTCTCAGAATGAGCACATGCATGTTCACTAACAGGCATCCACTTCAGAGGAGGCTTTCAATAATCAAGAGGACAAGATGACATGTTTCTCCAAATGTCAACAAAGACTCCTTCTCCAGCCACCCAGGGCTTGCTCAATGGGCCTGTGTACCAGGGAGCAAAGTGGCAAAGATGAAGGCTCTGCAAGGGCTCAGCAAAAGGAATGTTCCTCATAACATATTAATCTGCATTTCACTGATTACTAATGATGCTGAATATCTATTCATATCATTATGAATCTCTCTATAATACACAAATTAACTATTATATATGATGCAAAATTTTACAGCTTTTGTTAGCATACAAATTTTATTTATGATTTTTGGAAGATATAAAATTTTCTAATTTATATGTAGCCAAACTATCAGTATTTCCTTTTATGGTTTATTTCATTGCTCTTCTTCTCAGAAAAGCTTTCTTTGCCCATATTTAAACATATTTTCTTCCAGCTGTTTATGGTTTCTTTTTGGTATATAATTCTTCAATCCATCTGGAACTGGCTTTTGTACGGTGTAAGCAGAGAAAATAATTTTTCCCCACACAGTTAACCAATTATCCAGAGTAAATATTTATTTTAAATAATATTTCTTTTAAAATCAAAGCAGATTTTTTTTTATTTCACTGATTACCACATTATTAACAATACTATGGGGAAGGAAAAAAAACTCTAGGAAAATCTGATCCATCAGGAGCCACTGACATTTCAGCTCACGGCAAACCTATACAATCAGCTTACAAGACCATTCATCCTCTAAAAGGATTATCATGTTGAGAGATGCATAGGCCTTATTTTATCGCCTGTCATAGTAATATGAGTATGAAGCCATTTGGAGAAATAGGTGGACATTTGTGAGCCATCATATCATTTTTATCTGATCTTGACAGCTCAATTTCACCACCTGTCTCATGCTAGACAGATTTCAGAGCTGACATCACAGAAAATGTGCTGAAATGTAAAATGTAATCCATAAAAGGCCAATGGTGATGATGGTATGCAGAAAAACATATTTGCATAATGGAGCAAAGGTCATCCTGGGCTACCGATATGAGGCTTCCATTCTCAGGCAGATGGGCAGCACTGTGATTTGTTCAGGACTCCAGTTGCTAGTGCAGTTTCAAGGGACAAGTAAGGAAGGAAGAACAATTTTCTGTATAAACTCATCACAGAGAATTTTAACATCTCTCTAGCCTGAAGGCTGGCTCTCTTTTGCATACCTTTATATTCAACCTTGCATTTTATATGCACATGAATACAATACCTGGGCTGCAAAGCACAAAGGAACAGCTACTAACTATTTTCCATAGTCTGCACTGGCTGCCTATTCGTTTCTGACAATAATTTATATTACTAAATTTAATCTAAAAGTCTAAAAAGATGTGAACTTTCACTGCCTCAAGGATCCCCTTAATCCCTTCTTAACCAACTAGTACCCATTGCTAACATTTCCTTTAGTTTGTTTTTCTTCATTTTATATATACATATATATTTAATTATAGGAGTGAAACATGCTTATTACAACAGCCTAAAAATACAAATGAGTAAAGATAAATAATCTCACCATCACATCCTCCTCAGATAACCAATTTGGTATTATTCTTCCATATGCATTTTTTAACGAAATTGTATACAAATACATGCAAATAGAAGTTTTGCCACTTTTACTTTACAAACATAACTTCATAATTAATATATAACTCTGCTCTTGCCTTTTTTCACTTATCTATATACAATGAATATCCTTCCAGGTTAATCAAATGAATCATTTATATCACAGCTATATCATTATTTATTGAAGCATTTCAATACCAATGGATATTAACTATATTTCCATTTATTCACCACTTAGAAATAATGCTGCATTAAATAACCTAAAGCATATATCCTGAACAATTCACACTTTTATTTCTAGTGGCTAAATCAGATGCATGCCTGTTAAAATCAAAGCAATGTGTATTGTTAATAGTCATAGATGTTTCCAATCACTTAAATCACCTTTTAAAAGGTTGCAGCAACTCACATTTCCTCAAGCAGTATTTAAAAGTCACTGTGAAAAGTAGCTCTGCTAAGTACTATCCCACCAACTCTATAAGTGACTTTGGATTTCTAGTTCTGCCAAGATGGAGTAGGATCAAAACAAACACAGGAAGACTCTGAAAGGTGGAAAAAAGGTGGACTGGCTACAGAATGAAGGACCTGAGGAACAACATAGCAGTAAGTCTCCTTCCCTTCTTTATCGCCTCTCATGTATTCCAAGAGGGTGCTAGACAAGCCTCCAACCCAGAACTGTCCCCCCAAAAAAGTGCTAAGAAAAGCCTATTTTCCCTGGCCAAAGGATCAGTGAAAAAAGATGGCCTAACAACAGAAATTCTTTCTAGCAATACCTGCCCTGCTCTGACAACACACCAACAGAAAATCACATACAACCCTTCCCTTCCCAGTCCTCCAGTTTTAGTGGGACCATGGGAATTTTATCTTCTACCTTAACCCACCCCCAGGGAAACAGGTGGCCCACTTCAATTCCTCAACTGAGAAGTACAGGCAAAGCAGAATAGGGAGCTAATATTCCATCCCCTGCAAAGTGGAAGCAGTAACAGTTACCCAATTCCCCTGGAGGGGTAGTGTCTATAAGACCCAGCAGAGGGCTGATCCTCCATTCCCTGCCCAATAGAAACAGGCCATTCTTTAATTTCCCTGCTGTGACAGTATTAAGGTGTCTGAGTGGAGAGCTATCTTCCATTCCCAACCAGCAGAAGCAGGCAGTAATCTGATTCCCCTACAAAATTAGTGTCAGTGAGGTCCAGCAACCAGCAATAAAACCTCCACTCAGCAACATTAAGACTTAATGACACAGAGCAAGATGAGGACTCAAGACCTAGGCAAAATGTCCAGGACGTATTCTAAAATCACTCATCAAAACGAGAACCAAGAAAATCGCATGAATCAAAAAAGACCATCAACACATACTACACTAGTATGAATCAGATGTGAGAATGATCTAACAAAGATTTCAAAGCAGCTATCATAAAAATGTTTCAAAAAGCATTACAAATTCTCTTAAAACTAATGAAATTGTTTAAAATCTCAGATAAGGAGAAAGGTTATAAAAAAGAACCAATGTACAATATAGAACTGAAAAAATACAATAACCGAAATAAAAACCTCACTGGATAAGCTCAATAGTAGAGTGTAGATGACAGAGAGCAGAACCAGTGGACATGACTACAAATAAATTAAACTTATGAAATCTGAAAAACAGAGAAAAAATAGACAAAAGAAAAAAAATAGAGTCTCAGGGATCAGTAGGAGAATAACAAAATAACTTACATTCATATCATCAAAGTCCCAAAGAGGGGAAGAGAGAGAAAATGGGACTGAACAAGTATTCAAAGAAATCATGCCCAAAAAATATCCAAATTCAGCAGAAGACATAAATCTATATATTCAAGAAGCTGATCAAACTCCAAATAGGATTAAACCAAATAACCCACACCAAAGATATATCACAATTAAACTTCTAACTCCTAAAAGCAAAGAGAGTATCTTCAAAATAGAGAAATAACACATTACTTATAAAGGAATACTAACAGAAATAACAGATTTGAACCATGATATGAAACCATAGGGGACAGAAGAAAGTAGAAAAATTTTAAAGACTAAAAAGGAAAAAAAAAACTGTCAACTACAAGTTCTAAATGCAGTAATCTTCAGGAATAAAGGAGGAATAAGATTTCTCAAAGAAAAAGTAACCTTTTTTTCCAACAGCAAACATACCCTTAAAAAAATGTCTAAAGAAAGTTCTCTAATCCTAAAGAAGTGATAATAGAAGGTTAAGAATATAAAAAAAGAAGAACATCAGAATGAGTAAGTTAGAGGTAGATGCAACAGTCTAATTTACTTCTAATAAATTTCTTAAATCATATTTGATGATTAAAAGCAAAAAATATAACACCATCTGATAAACTGCTCAATGCATGCAGAGAGAACATCCTTAAGACAATTTTTTTTCTTTTTTGAGAGGGAGCCTTGCTCTGTTGCCCAGGCTGGAGTGCAGTGGCACAATCTTGGCTCCCTGCAACCTCCACCTCACAGGTTCAAGCAATTCTCCTGCATCAGCCTCCCAAGTAGCTGGGAATACAGGCGCACACAACCATGCACGGCTAATCTTTGTATTTTTAGTAGAGAAGGGGTTTCATCATGTTGGCCAGGCACCGTGCCTGGACAAGACAATTATATTTTAAAAGTAGGGATAGTAAAGGGAAAGTAGGGAAAATAAAAAGAAAGTAGGGAAAATAAAAGTAAACTAGGTGTTTACTCTTCATTCACAGTGATAACATATTATGACTAAGAGGCTATTATAAGTTATGTATGTATATTGCAACAACTAGAGCAACCACTAAGGAAACTATGCAAGGTGATATACTCAACAGTGCTATAAATAAATAAAAGAATCCCAAATGTTCAGATAACCCAAAGAAAGGTAAGTAAAGAGAAACAAAATAAGGAATAAAATGTCAGACTTAAACCTTGACATATCAGTAATCATCTTAAATGTAAATGGTCCAAACATACCAATTAAAAGGCAGAAATGGCAGAGGTGATACAAAATTATGACCCAACAATGTGCTGCCTGTAAGAAACTTGCCTTATATGCAATGATATAGATAAGTTTAAAGTAAAAAAATGAAAGCAGGTATAAAATGCAAACATTAATTTAAAATAAAGGCAGGAGTGACTGTATCAATATCAAATGAAGTAAACTTCAGAGAAAATTATTAGAGACAAAGATGGACTTACATTATGATAAAAGCATCTGTACATAAGAAAACATAATACCCTAAGTAAGTATGCAGCAAACAATGAGGCCTCCAAATACAGAGCAAAATTTGTTAGAAAGCAAAAATTGTTAGAGGTGAAAAGAGAAACAGATAAAGCCACAATTATAACTGCAGACTCCAACACCCTACTTTCAGAAATTGATAGAAATATTAGAAAGAAAAACAGTAAGAATAGAGAATATCTAAACAACGCAATGAAACAACAAAATCTAATTGACATATAAAGAACATCCCCAACAAGCAGCAGAATGTACATGCTTTTCAAGCGCCCTGTACCATTCACCAAAATAGACTATACACTAAACTACAAGACAAACCTCAACAAATTTAAAAGAACTGAAATCACAGCAAGTGTGTTCTCTGACCATAATAAAATCAAACTATATATCAATAACATAATGACAACAGAAAAATCTCTAAATATGTGGAAATTAAATAAGACATCCCTAAATAATACATGGATCAATGAGGAAGTTTCAAAGGAAATTAAAAAGATACATTAAACTACATAATGTTTTTTTAAAAAATCCAAATCTATGCAAATGCTACAAAAGCATCTGAGAGACAGAGTTATAGAAATAATGCTACATGAGACCTTTTACAAAAAGAAAAGGTTTCAAATCAATAATCTGTTTCTGCTTTCAGAAAGTAGAAAAAGAGCAAAACAAAGCAAGCAGAAGGAAAATATAAAAATCAGGGAATGGACTGAAAACAGAAAAATGATAGAGAAAACAAAAAGCTGGTCACTCAATCTCTAGCAAAACTGGTAAAAATAAAAACAGAAGAGGTACACATCATCTATATCAGGAATGAAAAGGGATATCACTACAAATACTTCAGTAGTAAAAAGATAAAATGGAATACTAGAAAAAAAATTTAATAACACAATAATTTTTAAAAAATTGACCATTCCTCAAAAACCATAAACTACCAAAACTTGACCTAGTAAAATTTTAAAATATGCATGGCCTTGCAACTTAAAGAAATTGAATTTGTAATTTAAAAGTTCCCGAAGATAAATCTGCAGGCCCCAATGGATTCACTAGAGAATTCTACAAAAATTTTAAAGAAAAATTAACACATTTCATACAGTCTCTTCCAGAAAACAGAAACAGAGGGCATACATCACAATTCATTTTATGAGGCTAGTATTATATTAATACTAAGAGGAAAGAAGGGAAGGAGGGAGAAAGCAAGCAAGCAAACTATAACCCAGTATCTCTCATGAACTTAAGGGAAAAAATCCTCAACAAAATATTAGCAAATCAAATTCAGCAAAATATAAAAGAATTAACACACTGTGACCACGTGAGATTACTCTAGGTATGCAATTGCTGTAGAATTTGAAAAACAATGTAATATAGCAACAGCTAAAAAAATCATATTGTTATATTAATTGATAGAGAAAAAGCATTTGACAAAATCCAACACTCATTCATGATGAGAGAAAAAAAAAACTCTAAGAAAATTGGAGATAAAGAATAAGAATGAGATTGACCTTCCTCCACTGATAAAGAATATCTACAAAAAATCTAGAGTTAACACCATACTTAACAGTGGAGGCCTAAAAATGCTTTCCCTACAAGGCCAGAAACAAAGCAAGAACATCTGTTCTCACCACTCTTATTCAACATAGTACTGGAAATTCTAAATACTAAAATAAGGCAATAAAAATAAAGGGCACACAAACAAGAGAGAAGAAAAATAAAACTGTCCACATTTACAGATGACATGATTGGCTATATAGAAAATCTCCTGGAACCCACAAAAAAAAAAAAAAAAAAAAAAAACCACCTACAACTGATAAATGAGTTTAGTAACGCTGTAGAAGATAAAATCAAAAAACACAAAAATCACATCAATTAAATGTGGAAATTGAAATTAATGATGCAATACCATTTACAATTGCTTCCCTCCAAAAAGAAATACTGGGTATATACCTAACAAAACATGCTGAAATTATAGAATGCTAATGAAACAAGGTTAAAAAAAAAAAACTAAATAAATAGAGAGAGACACCACATTCAAGGATCAGCAGACCATAGAGTAAATATATCAACTATCCCTGTATTGATGTATTAGTTTAATGCAAGCCCAGCAAGGTTTTGGCAAATATAAACAAGCTCATTCCAAAGCTTATATGGAAAAGCATATAGGTCCCAGAACAGCTAAAACAATCTTGACAAAAAAGAATAAAAAGAGAGGAATCACTCTGCCCAATATTAAGCCTTATTATGGTCAAGTAATCTTAATTACAGTAATCAAGACAATGTTGTATTGATAAAGGGACAGACACACAGATAAATTGAAAAGTTTAGAGAACCCAGAAGCAACCCCAACACAAATATGCCCAAATGATTTTTGACAAGGTACAAAAGCAACTGAATGCAGGAAAGATAGACTTTTCAACAAATAACACCAGAGCAATTAAATATCCACAGGCAAAAACCAAAACCAAAAGAAAACCTCTAACTAAACTTTATACTTTATGCGTAAAATTAACTCAAAATGGATCACAAACTTAAATGTAAAGCGTATAACCATAAACAATATTTTTTAAAACATGGGAGAAAATCTTTGGGATCTAGACAGAGTTCTTAGTCTTGACATCAAAAATACACACCATTAAAGGAAAAAATGATAAAGTGAACCCATTAAAATTCAACACTTTGGTTCTGTAAAATATCCTGTTAAGATAAGATGACAAGCTACACATGGAGAGAAAAAATTTGCAAACCGTATATCTGACAGTGGACTCGTGTCTAAAATATATAAAGAACTCTCGAAATTCCATCTTTGGCCAGTGGAAGCTCCTTCACATTGGCTCCTGCATTCTTTTTAACATGACCTTAGAAGTCTCTGATAACTTCCTCGCTTTCAGGAATGACATGTCCCAGCCTCAATTTGTTCATTTCTGGCCTAAATGCAAAGCTGTGCCAGAGACTTGGAACCTATTTATACAAGAGACCACGATTTGAGTAGAAAATGGTAGTTAGGAATTAAAACTTGAATACTAGCTTCTTAGTGTTATAAACTGAATTCTGTTCCCCCCAAAATTCATATGTTGAAGCCCTAACCCTCAATGTGACTATATTTGAAGATAGGTGTGTGTTTGGAGATAAGGCTGTATTTGGAGATTTAAGGGGGTAATTAAGGCTAAATGACACCATGTGGGGGGGCACCTAATCCAGCAGCAATGGTGTCCTTAAAGAGGAAAAGACACCATGAGTGCACACACACAAAGGAAAGGCCATGCGAGGACACAGGAAGAAGGCAGCCCTCTATGTAAGCCAAGAAGAAAGACCTCACCAGAAACCAAACCTGTCGACACCTTGATCTTGGATCTGTAGCCGATGAAACTGTGAGAAAATAAATTTATGTTGTTTAAGTTGCCCAATCTGTCATACTCTGTTATGACAGCCTGAGCAAACTAACACAAGTAGACACAACTATGAAATACATACTTTCTTTAAAAAGATAGAAAAATAAATAAGTTTATCCTAACATTTTTGAGTCAAATTAAGGATGAGAGAATTTTACTTATATTTTTATAATTGTACATTTTATTTTACACTGATAATATTGGTTATTACTGGAATTAGCATAATTGTTAGTTTTACCTTACCATATATAGAGACTATATATATATATATACACACACACATACACACACCATAGAGACGTATATATACCATATATAGAGAGAGAGGCCACATATATATATACACACACACACCATATATAGAGATCATATATATATACACACACGATATATATTATATATATACACACACACAGACACGCACATACCATATATATATATATAATAGTTTCAAATGGCAATACATATATTAACACTGACAAGAAGAACACCAAATGCAGTTTAAGGTTTCTTAATGGGATTTTGGTCAGTAAAATACATTATGAAAGAAATATTCTGCCATAATACTGTGCTTTAAAAGCACTCACTTTAAATATCTCTTCCCTGGGGAATCATACCACAAACTTGATACACAGATTGTTTTCAACTTTTAAAGACCACTTCATTTTTATTTCTATTTTTAACATTATATAAAACATTTACATGGTTCTTAAGTCTAGACCATAAAGCAGGTACATTCAGACAAGCATAGCTCACTCCTGCCCCTGCACCTTCCTTATTCTCTTCCTAATCCTGTAAATTATCACTCTTGTAATTTATTTAACTTTCCATTCTGTCTTTTGTAAAATATTAGTAAAGGCACATATCCTCTCTGTTTTCACCCCCTTTCTTAGACAAAAAGGTATTAATAGTATGCTATGAATACTGTTCTAAATCTGACTTTTATCAGGATAATAATATCTTGTAGATGATTCCATGGCTGTGTACAGACATCTTCCTTGTGCCTTTCCACAACTGCGTAGCCCTCCATTCTGGGGATGGTGGTGGTTGGCAGAATGCTAAAGATCCCCCTGCCCCCAAAGCCCCACCATCCCGGCTATTCAAACACTAATCTAGATACTTCAGCTGGTCCCCAACTTACAATGATTCAACTTGCGATTTTATGATATGTTAGTTTGCAATGGTGCAAAAACAATATTCAGTAGAAACCATACATGGAATACTCATATAACCATTCTGCTTTTCACTTTCAGGGTGGTATTCAATAAATTACATGAGATATTCCACACTTTATTATAAAACAGGCTTTGTGGGCAGGGAGCGGTGGCTCACACCTGTAATCCCAGCACTTTGGGAGGCCAAGGCAGGTGGATCACTTCAGGTCAGCAGTTCGAGACCAGTCTGGTCAACGTGGTGAAACCCCGTCCCTACTAAAAATACAAAAATTAGTCAGGCATGGCGGCATGCACCTGTAATCCCAGCTACTCAGGAGGCTGAGGCAGGAGAATCACTTGAATCTGGGAGGCAGAGGCTGCAGTGAGCCGAGATCACACCACTGCACTACAGCCTGCATGACTAAGCGAGACTCCATTTCAAAAAAATAAAAAATAGGCTTTGCGTTAGATGATTTTGCCCAACTATAGGCTAATGTAAGTGTTCTGAGCACATTTAAGGTAGGACGGGCTAAGCTATGATGTTCAGTAGGTTAGATGTATTAAATGCATTTTTGACATGATATTTTCAACTTATGATGGGTTTATTGAAATGTAACCCCATTGGAAATCAAGGAGCATCTGTATTGGGAAGTGAGTTTGAAGACATAATTAAAGTCCCAATTCCATTAATCTTAAGACACATAGATAATCTGAGTGAGCCTAAGCTAATCAAGTGAGACATTTAAAACTCATTTTCTCTGACTGATGGCAGAGGAGGGAAGTCAAAGATGTCTGAAGCATGAGGGGAATGAGTGCCTGCTTCTCAAGGCATGAGAAGCAATCTTGCTGGCCACCAAGAGAAAGTAAACAGGTATGCAGTAAACTGTCAATGAAGAAGGACAGATTCCTGAAGCTGAGCATGAACCCCAGCCAAATACCAGCAAGAAAGTGAGGATGTCAGTCCAAAGACTGCAAGAACATGAATTCTGCCAAGAACCAGCGAGCTTGGAAGAGGACTCCGAGCCTCAACTGAGAATCTCAGCACCAGCCAACACCTTGACATCAAGTATGTGAGATGTGAGCAGAGGATCCAGTTATACGAAGCCCAGACTCCTGACCCATGGAAACTGTCAGTTTAATAAACGGGCACTGCCTTTAATGATGGAGTCTGGTAATTTTCAACTTCCAAAATACAAAGACAAGGTAACAACATTCATCTGCTTTAGCCATCTTTCCCTTTGCTTCTGCCCTTGTGGTTTTGTGCCTTTTAATTCTTTTATTCTCATTTGAGTACAGTATCAGAAGAGAACACATTCAACCAGAAGATTACTGCTATGATTTCCTCAATTGGAAATCCTCCTCCATCTGTTCTTTACTCCTCCTAATGTTCTTGGCACTTGGCATGTGAGATCTCCTGGACCTCCACTCCATATTTCTTACTGTTTCCTCTCAAGTTTCCATGTCTTTGCCACCTGCTCTGAATGGTTTAATGTACCCTTTAATATTGCGTTTCAAAGCACCAATGCTATCCCTAGCAGAGGCCATTGTCTTCCAGTTCTAGACTTTCCAAAACAAAAAAAACACTGCCTTCTCCGTAGAGTTTTCAATATTTGTTAAAATTCCTTCTTTGTCTCTTCCATTAGTTCTGCCTCCATAAGAAATGCCTGGTCTGGCCGGGTGTGGTGGCTCACATCTGTAATCCCAGCACTTTGGGAGGTCAAGGCGGGTGGATTATTTGAGGTCGGGAGTTCAGCCTGACCAACATAGTGAAACCCTGTCTCTACTAAAAATACAAAAATTAGCTGGATGTGGTGGCGGGCGCCTGTAGTCCCAGCTACTCAGGAGGCTGAAGCAGGAGAATTGCTTGAACCCGGGAGGCGGAGATTGCAGTGAGCTGAGATTAAGTGAGACTCCACCTCAAAAAAAAAAAAGAGAGAGAGAGAAAGAGAGAGAGAGAGGAAGGGAGGGAAGGAGGGTGGGAAGGAGGGAGGGAAGGAGGGAGGGTGGGCGGGTCAGCCTGCTCTTCCCGTTCTTTCTCTTTCAAGTACCATGTTTCCCTAAATGGGCTGGGACAAATCTCTGCCTATTGACTTCTTAACCTACTCAGTACCCAATCAGGATGGGTGTGGCAAAGAAGCAGGTATTAAGAGGGAGCTGTTCTCTTCAAGGGCAGGAAGGTGGTGTAGTCTTTCTAGAACCTTACAGACAGGGACAGATTGGCCCACCATTTCCGTTCTGCTCAAGATCTTGTGGGAATAAGACTGCAAGCCCAAACCACCATATGTAGAAAGCATCTGCATTTTAGACCCTGCAGAAGCTCCAAGTTCTACTATTCATGCTGAGCTTAGGAGGCCAAAGACAGGAGCACCATCTCTGCCACACAGTGCAGGAAAAATGGAGCCTACCTTACCTCCCCTGCAAGCCTAAGGTCACTTTCCAGACCCTCTCTCTACACTCATCCTGTTTGTTGTGTTGCTCCAGAGACTGAGAAGAGTGGAGGTCAGTGTCAGGGGCATGCCTTCAGACCACTATGTTCCCACCACTGCTTCAGCTTCTAAACATTTATTCAGAGATAAGTCACAGCAATTCCCAGGGAGGAAGGACCACATGTGTCATACCCAATCTCTGAAGGTGTAAGTGGTTTAGTTCCTTCCAGTTAAAGAGCTTCTGAAGCTGAGGTTACAGGAAGTATTTTAGATAGCATCATCAGAGTGGCTCTCAGAAGAAGTAAACCTTGGACAGAGACTTGAATGATCTGAGGAAGCCAGTCATGCAAGCATCTGAAGGAAGAGATCATAGGCACAGGAAACAGCAACCAAGAAGAGCCCTGAGGTGAGTGCATAGGCTTAGTGTATTCAAAATGCAACAGACAAACCATGGGGCTCAAATGGAGTGTGCCCAAAGAAGACAAGGGCTAACACAAGGGCAAGAACTAGACAAGGCAGGACAGGTAGGACATGGTGAGGAACAGGGGTATTATTTCAGAGTGACTGGGTGTTACTGGAGGAGTCCAAGCAGGGAAGAAACAAAAGCTGATTTGCAGTGTGTAGGTACTCTAGCTCCTATATAGAAACCAGACTGTGAGTACAAGAAATGATCTAACAGCATCCATTGAGAAAGTTTCTTACTTGTTCTTTCTCTTTTATTGTTTTATTTTGTCCCTTTTTTGTTTTTCTCTTTTCTTGCCCTAACTCTATATGGTAGAACTGTTGAGAAGCTATATTAGTTGTTCCAGTGAAAAATGATGGTAAACGCAAAGACAAATCAGAGGTAGCAAAGCCAGCAGTGAGGCCATTAAAAATAAATAGACACGAGCAACTTCCACTTCTGGCCATAATGGACTAACAGAAACAGGATTCACCCTCCCATCTAAAACAACCAAAAAATAGCCAAAATACATGAAACATCACACTTCAAGACATTGGACAAGGAAAACCAGTGATCCCTAAAAGATGAGAAACAAGGAGGTTTGTTAGGAAATTCCACACCCCTCAATTGGAAGTGACTGATCTACAATGTAATGACATCCTGAAACACAAAAATCAAGAGAAGAATCTAACAGAATTATACAAATGCCTTCCCAGTGACAAATCTGCTCAATGAAAATCATATGTTCATGAGTTGATTTTGTTATTTGGCAGTATCTATCTGTGTGAAGACATTTTCAAAGACAAAACACATTAAATCACATTAAAAATCAGCACTAAGAGAAAAACATTTGCAACTGATTTAATGATAAGGACACTAACTTTGATCCCCAATTGAGCAAAATGTTATCTCCCCCTTCCCCGAAAAAAGAATTCTCTTCTCCCTAACAGACCTGTATTACAAAAGAAAAATTTCATTCAGTTAATATTGGTATATTTTTATGTCAATAAAAAACATGTGGGCTGGGTATGGTGGCTCATGCCTGTAATCCTAGCACTTTGGGAAGCTGAGGCAAGAGAATCACTCAAGCCCAGCAGTTCAAGACCAGCCTGGACAACACAGTGAGACCCTGTCTCTATCAAAACATTTTAAAAAGTATCTGGGCATGATGGCATGCACCTGTAGTCCCAGCTACTCCAGAAGCTGAAATGAGAGGATCGCTTGGGCCTGGTGTGGGGATCGAGGCTCCAGTGAGCCATGATTACACCACTGCACTCCAGCCTGGGCAACAGAGTAAGACCCTGTCTCCAAAAATACACACAGAAATTTGTTGTCTTGTTTGTTATATAGGTAGGTATGTAATCGCCCCAATTTTGCCTCTTGATCTACAAAGCCTACTCTCTCACTGTTACCAGGAAAAAAAAAATTGTCAACCCCTAATCTAGATCAATCTCAGCAATACCAGGCTCTGCTCAGTATTCTAGAACAAGTAAAACCCTGGATCTAGAAACAGACATTAAACCAAACTGTCAGGTCTCCTCTGGGCTTCAATACAGCACGGATCAGATGGTTCAGAAGGTGTTAATCAGAAAGCATCAGAACACGAAGCAAACTTGAGGAGCATCTAGAACAGCTCCTCCTTTTAGAGCAAAGAGTTACAAGCCGGGAGAAAGACCTGTCCTTCCTAGGACCAGTCCATAAACTCTCACCCCCTGCCCTGCTCCTCCTTCTGAGCCTTCAGCTACTTATTCCAGAATCTTACAATAAGGAAAATTACAACCAAGCCACTGGTCTAATATTGACTCCCAAAGGTACAAACAAGAAACATCTCAACACCCTGCTTTGGATTGTTCTCAGATCTAGGGCTGTGTTAGCCCATTCTCACACTGCTGTGAAGAAATATCTGAGATTGGGTAATTTATAAAGGAAAAAGGTTAATTAATTCACACTGCTGGGGAGGCCTCAGGAAACTTACAACAATGGCAGAGGGTAAAGGAAAAACAGACTCCTTCTTCACAGCCAGGAGGATGGAGTGAGTGCCAGCATGGGAAATGCCAGACACTTAAAAAACCATCAGATGTGGTGAGACTCACTCATTATCACAAGAACAGAATGGGGGAAACCACTCCCATGATCCAATTACTCCCACTTGGTCCCACCCTTGACACGTGGGGATTACAGGGATTATAATTCAAGGTGAGATTTGGGTGGGGACAGAGAGACAAACCATATCAAGGGCACACCAGGGATTTCTCACTCTGCTATAGTTTCAGAGGTCTTCTCTGGGTCCTCAGTACTTCCAAGCTGAGATTACAGGTGAAATATTAAGCCCCTGGAAAAACTCTTAAAAAAAAATACCAGATACACAGAGGCCAAGAAATACCCTACAACTACTAATACAACAGGCACTAAATTGAAGTTACTGATGAAACCATCAGAGAAAATCTTACCTTGCTTGGCAACTGAGCAGCAACATCTCACGGTTATAAATCAAAATATATAGAAGAACCAGGAAGGCTTTTGCTCTAATGCATGTTGAGGGGCTGTCAAGTAAACGGATAATTGTGGAGACAAAACCCTGTAGAAGACATTTAAACAATTTTTTGAGAGAACATAAAAAAATAGGGCAGTCTCAATTCTCAGAGTGAACAGACTATAATAATCAAGCAGATGGCAGGAAGTAAAATAATAACTACTGTTTTCGCATTCTCAATTTGTGCCAGATCCCATAACTAAATTTTAATATTATCTCATTTAAATCTGAAAGTTAGTCATAAAAAGTTGACAATGTTGTCCCCGCTTTAAAGAGAAAAATGAATATGGAAAAATTAAGCAATTTACCCAAATTCAGAGTTGGATAAAATCCAGGCCAGTTGAATGACAAAGCCTGCCTGTTAACTACTCAATCACACAACTGGAAATGTGGCAGCAAATAATACAACTGTCAGTCACAACTACATGTAGATATAAATCTCTGAGAAGAGCTGCATATAGAGAGATCATACCTCTAGTCTACACATCTGAGGGCTTAACAGATATAAAGACAATACTCAATACATGACACAAAGAAACGTATACTCCTATAACACTCTTTAATTAAAGGTATAATTCAACACAGAGGACTAAGTATTGACAAGGAATAGTGCTACTTTCCCTTTTAAAAGACAGACTATAAATAATTTCTATAAATATGCAAACAGAAAACAGACACACATACACACACATGGTTAACGAATGTAAGTAGTCAGAAATACGGAATCGTAATATCAGCAAGATGGCTACAGAGAACAGGAATATATAAGTTCCCAAGAGAGCTTAAGAGAGGCCAGCACCTAACAGTAACACTGTGTGTCCAAGACAGATTTAAGAAGCTCATTTTTTTTTGGCCACACTCCAGTCCTTTTCTATTTGGTGCTATGTTTCCAGGTAGGAAGAATTTACATAGTCATGTATATGCCATGTAAATTCTATGCTACTTAAGGATAAAAACATATCTAAGCATCAGTCTCACCTACTTCCTGAACCAAATTATCAAAGCCAAATTATTTATCTCAGGTAAAAAAAACAAATCAAGGCAGTCATCCTTGAGTAGAAGATCTGTTTTCTACCTTTCCAGCAACTAGACAGTAGAAAATCCATCTCCCCAGAGTCCATTCCTGATTCTAATTTATACTCTGTGGTCTAAGGACCACCATCACAAGTCTGTTCCCCATATCAACACCACCCCCAACATATACACACATAATTCCAAAGCCATTCAAATTTCCAGCAATCATAGACTGAAAAGCTCTTCCAGATTATAAGAGATTAAAAAGACATGATAACTGACTGCAATTCAAGATCTGGAAGTTTTGTTCCCATAAAGAACACTATCGGGAGAACTGGCAAAATCTGAATAAGGTCTGTAGATTAGCTAACAATACTGAATCAATGTTAGTTTCTTGATTTTGAAATTCACAGCTTGTTTCAAGGAAACATTCAATGAAATAATTAGAATTAGAAGAGCAAGCATCATGTCCACAAACTTCTCAAATGGGTCAGAAAACACAGATACACGCACACACACATGCACACAAAGTGAAAGAGATAAAGACAGAGAGAGAGACAAATTATAAAGTAAACATAGCAAACTGTTAACATTTGGTGAATGTGGACAAAGGATCTATTGCAATCATTCACACTGTATGTCCAAAATTAAACTCAGTGACTACTCTAAACATGAGTACTAGCCAAACTCAGAAGTCTGAGTACCATCCTTGACCCTTCTTTCCTTTCTCCCACGCCCAATTAACCCCAAGCTCTGTGAAAATGACACCCCCACTATGGCTGTATTATTTCTATGCACCATTATATCTTTCCTGAATTACTACAATCGGCTTTATCTAATTTTCCTTTATTCCATCTATTCTACAAATTTTAGCCACAGTGGATCCTCTGTAAGAGCAAATATAACTCACCTATAAAATATTCTCAATAGTTACACAACCATTAAAAAGAGGTTAAAACTAATTATGGCATATGAGGTTCTTCATGGTCTGGCTTTTCATTATCTTCCCAAAATCATGTATCATACCATCAACTCCACTGAATACCCTCAACACTCACCATGAAGAAGTAAAAAAAGGAAGATGAGAACATTGAACAAAGGAAAGCGGCAAAGGGAATCTCAGGATGATTCCAAGGTGACAGCCTTCACCAGACAGAGGGCAGCCTATCTGTAAGGAAGCTGGTCAGAGGCCCCCAGAGAAAACTCAGGAGAAAAAACTGACAGATTATACGAAGCACCTGAATGTACTCTGAAACACAAAGTGATGAAAACGAAGAAAGTTCCACTAGATATTGATCTACACAAAATTAACAGACTGATTACATATGCATATTGGAGCCTGTCTCATGTCCTACTTCAAAATAAACACCAAACAGCTCTAAGATTTAAAAAATAAACACAAAATGATTCAAAGATCTAGAAGAGGCCATGGGAGGTAGGAATACAAACATATATACATACATATATACATATTTCAATCTCAGACTGGGGAAAATGTTCGTAAATAATTAGAAAGAACAAAATAAGCGTGAGAAATGTAAATACAAAAAATGTTAAATGCCACATAGAAATAGAACACTATAAAGAAAAAAACCACATAAACTAGAGTATTTGCAGCACATTTTTTTAATAAAGGGTGATTTTCTTGATATATAAATATCAATAACTAAGAAAAGAACTTAAGAACTAAGAAAGTAAGAGTCCTAGAAACAACTGAAACCTCTGATCTCTTCCATGTGGAATATCACATTAACCAAGGATAATTTAAGGTATTTCAAAAAATACAGAAGATAGGAGGCAAGTTTCATATAAAGCTATCCATATAAACCTATTTCATATAAAGAAAACGAAAAATGAAAATCAAAAACATTTTGGCTGATAAAAACTCTTTTTGGCCAGGCACAGTGGCTCACGCCTGTAATCCCAGCACTTTGGGAGGCCAAGGCGGGCAGAACACGTGGTCAGGAGATCAAGACCAACCTGGCTAACACAGTGAAACCCCGTCTCTACTAAAAATACAAAAAATTAGCCAGGTGTGGTGGCGGGTGCCTGTAGTCCCAGCTACTCCGGAGGCTGAGGCAGGAGAATGGTGTGAACCCAGGAGGCGGAGCTTTCAGTGAGCCGATATCGTGCCACTACACTCCAGCCTGCGCAACAGAGCGAGACTCTCTCAAAAAAAAAAAAAAAAAAAAAAAGTTAAGAGTCTCACTCTGTCGCCCAGGCTGGAGTGCAGTGGTGCAATCTCGGCTCACTGTAACCTCCCCTTCCTGGGTTCAAGTGATTCTCCTGCCTCAGCCTCCTGAGTAGCTGGGACTACAGGTGCGTGCCACCGGCTAATTTTTTGTATTTTTAGTAGAGACAGATTTTTACCGTGTTAGCCAAGATGGTCTTGATCTCCTGACCACATGATCCGCCTGCCTTGGCCTCCCAAAGTGCTGGGATCACAGGCGTGAGCCACCATGCCTGGCCGAAATGCTCTGATTTTACCTGCTATGGGCTGAATGTTTTTGCCTGCCCCCATTCATATGTTAAACTTAATCCACAATGTAATAGCGTTAAGAGGTGGAGCCTTTTGGAGGTAATTAGGTCATAAGGACTATCCCTCATGAATGAGGTTGGTACCCTTATAAAAGAGGCCTGAGTGAGTTTATTTACCCCTTCCAACATGTAAGGACACAAAGACGAAACTATGTATGACAAATGGGCCCACAATAGACACCAAAGCTGCTAGTACCTCGATTTTGGACTTCCCAGCCTCCAGAACAGTGAGCAATAAATTTCCATTATTTATAAATTACCCCGTCTAAGGTACCTTGTTATAGCAGCCCAAACATACTAAGATACCACTCAACCAAAACAAAAAACAAAACAAAGCAAAATTGAGGGAGAGGTAAACTGTACTGTAACAGCTCAATTTGAAGGAACTATCATTAAATAAGCATTTATAGACATCAAAAAGGTCCAAGTCACTTAGTTATACAAGACAAGGAGGTATAGACAGTATACCTTAGGAACACAGATGCAAAAACTCCTCAACAATATATAAGCACGTTGATCCAGAATATATTAAAAGAATAAAACTTGATGACCAAGTGAGGTTTATCCCAGGAATCCAAGGCTGATTCAACATTTGAAAAACAATAAGTGGCCGGGCACAGTGGCTCATGCCTGTAATCCCAGCACTTTGGGAGGCCGAAGCGGGTGGATCACGAGGTCAGGAGATCAAGATCACAGTGAAACCCCGTCTCTACCAAAAATACAAAAAATTAACAGGGCGCAGTGGCGGGTGCCTGTAGTCCCAGCTACTCGGGAGGCTGAGGCAGGAGAATGGCGTGAACCCGGGAGGCGGAGCTTGCAGTGAGCCAAGATCGCGCCACTGCACTCCAGCCTGGGCGACAGAGCAAGACTCCATCTCAATTAAAAAAAAAAAAAGGTGTAATTCATCATAATTAATTGATGAAACAAGACAAACCACATAGCCATATCAATTACTAATAAAAAACCATTTTACAAAATTCAACATCCATTCATGATAAAAACTCTCAGTAACCTAGGAATAAAAGAGACCTCCTCAATCTGAAACAAAGCAAGTAGAAAACAAAAAACCTACAGCTAACATCATACTTAATGATGACAGACAAGGTGTTTCCCCAGAAACTGGGAAGAAAGCAAGGATGTTCATTCTCTTCACCCATGATTCAGTATTTTACTGAAAGCTATAGCCAGTATAAGAAGAAAAATAAATAAAAGACATTTAGATTTGAATGAAAGAAATATTTGCAGATGACATGATTATCTATGTAGAAAATCCCAAGGAATTTACAAAAAAAGCTCCTATAAGTGAGTTTAGCAAAATCTGGTATATTTCAACATACCAATAATGAACAATTGGAAAATAAATCCTTTTTAAAGTACCACTTTTCAATAGCTCCAACAGTAACAACAACAAAGAAGTATTGCTTTCACCCTAACAAAACATCTACAGAATCTGTACATTAAAAATTCTAAAATAGTGATTAAAGAAAACTTTTTAAACGTATAAATAATGAAGAGACATTCCATGTTCATGTAGTAAGACTCAAGTTAGTCATCAATTCTCCCCAAATTGACCTATAGACTTAATGCAACTTCAATCAAAATCCCAACAGGGCATTTTGTGGATGTAAACTAAGTTTAAAATTTCTATGGAAAGGTAAATAAAAACTAGAATATGCAAAACAATTTTGGGGGGATATGCAAGAATTGCACAATAATTTTAAGACATAAAAAAACTACGGTAATCAAAACAATGTAGTATGGACAAAATGATAGACACATAGAACAAGGAAACAAACTAGAGTTTAGAAATATAGTCCATTAGTCTATGATAAAGGTGCAAAGGCAACATTGGAAAAAGGATAATCATATGACCAAATGATGCTGGAACACCTGAACATCCACATGCAAAAATGTTAACTTACACTCATTCCTCACTCCATATGCAAAAATTAGCCCAAAATGTATTATACAACTGAATATAAGTAAACTTCATCAAAATTAAAATTTCTCCCCTGTGAAGGACACTGTAAGAAAAGACAAGCCACATACTGACAGAAAATATTTGTACCCAGAATATATAAAGAACTCTCAAAACTCAAAATTAAGAAAAAAATTTTAATGAACAAAATATTTAAACAGACATTTCACTAAAGAAAATATGTATCTGTCGAATAGATGCAAGGATGCTCAATATCATAATCATTATAGTAGTGCAAATTAAAATCATACTGAGATATAACTATGAGCTTATTAGAATGACTAGCATGAAAAACGGTGAGTATGTAGAGCAACTGAAGTTTTTCATACATTGCTAGTGGGAATGCAGAAATGGTACAGGAATCCTGGAAAACAGTTTGGCAGTTTCATTAAAATGTTCAATACATACCTATCATATATGCCTCAACCATCCTAAGTATTCTAATAAAATAAAAACTTAAGTTCACAGAAAACCTTGTACACAAAAATTGTACACAAAAATAGCAATATTTAGTTATAATACAGATTAAGTATCCCAAATCCAAAAATCTGAAATCTGTAATGCTCCCAAATCCAAAACTTTTTGAGCACTGACATGATGCAAGTGGAAAATTCCACACATAAGTACTTAATACAAACTTTGTTTCATGCACTGAAAATATTTAAAATATTGTATGAAATTACCTTGGCCTTATTTTATACAAGGTGTATATGAAACATAAATATTGTGCTTAGACTTGGGTCCCATCCCCAAGATTTCTCATTATTTATATACAAATATTACAAGATCCAAAAACACTGAAATCTGAAACACTTCTGGTCTCAAGCATTTTGGATAAGGGATATTTAATCTGCAGTCAAAAACCAAAAACAGTCCACATGTCCTTCAATGTGTACGTGAAAAAATAAACTGTGGTACATCCACATAATGAAACAGTACTCAGCAGTAATGAACTACTGATACATGCAGTGACATGGATGAATCTCACCTGCACTGTATTAACTGAAAGAAACCAGCTGCAAAGATTATATGCAGTATGATTCCATTTATATGACATTCTGGAAAAGATAAAACTATAGGGGCAGGGAAGACATCCATGATTGCCAGGGACTGGGATGGAGGGTGGTTTGCCTAAGACAAAAGCAGCACAAGGTCATTCTTTGGGAAACTGGAATTGTTCTGTATCTTTCTGGTGGTGGTAACAAGAGTCTATGGATATATTAAACCTCATAGAACTGAGTCCCCATGGAAGTAAATTTCATTAAAAGTAAATTTCATTATACATAAATTTAAAAATTAAAAAATAATATAGTATATATAATATACACATAAAATACATTATATACTATGTTATGTTATATATTATCATACATATATGTATATGTATTATATGTATATACATATATTAGATTTATTATACATGCTATATATATATTATATATTATCTACCATTCACAACAATGTATAACAGCAATGATTATAGTAATGAGTGTTATGCCTTAAACAGTAGAGCAACCACCTTTCTAATGTGAAAACTATGTAGGATACAAGAAGCAATAAAATATTTTATCACACTACTGTCAGTCTGAGACTTTCAAAAGAACAAAAATAAGTGAGGATATAGAAGACCTAAATAACATAAATAGATTAGATATTATGGGTAGATATCAAATTTTATATTCAAATAATGGAACATACATCTTTTACTTTACATAGAATGTTCCTTTAAGTTGATCATATAACAGATCATGAAAAAGTATTAAAATACTCCACAAAGTAAAAATAATTTTTATGATTACAATGCAATAAAACTAGAAATTAGGCTGTCATGGTGGCTGAAACCTGTAATCCCAGCACTATGGGAGACTGAGGCAGGAGAATTGCTTGAGCTCAGGAGTTCCAGACCAGCCTGGGCAACACAGCAAGACCTCTTCTCTACTTAAAAATAATAATAATAATAATTAGCCAGGCATGATGGCACATGCCTGTAGTCCTAGCTACTTAGATGGCTGAGGTGGATGGATCACTTGAGCCCAGGAGGTCGAGGCTACAGTGAGCTATGATCTCATCACTGCACTCCAGCCTGGAAAACAGAATGAGACCCTGTCTCAGGGAAACAAACAAACAAAACTAGAAATTAATTAAAACATAAATAATCCAAAAGGCCCTTCTACCTGCAAATTTTTTAACTCTGTATTAAACAAACCGTAAGAGAAAATACAAACCAAAATTGCAGAACTTAGAAATACTAGATCTTATTCATTCTAGCTAACTATATTTTTGTGCCCATTAACCACCCCCACTCTCCCTTCCAATACCCTTCCCAGCTCCTGTTACCATCATTCTGTTCTTTATTTCCATGAGTTCAACTGTTTTAATTTTTAGCTCTATCTACCCAAAAGAATTTAAAATGTTTTTTTAAGTTTAAAAAATAAGAAAAAAAGTAAAGAAAATAAAAAGCTAACAGTGAAAACACTATTGTATTAGCCTATTCTCACACTGCTATTAAGATACCACCTCAGACTGGGTAATATATAAAGGAAAGAGGTTTGATTAACTCACAGTTCCACATGGCTAGGGAGGCCTCAGGAAACTTAGAGTCATGGTAGAAGGTGAAGGAGAAGCAAACCATGTCTTACCTGGTGACAGGAGAAAGAGCAAGAGAGCCAGGAAGTGTTACACTTTTTTTTTTTTTTTTTTTTTTTTTGAGACAGAGTCTCGCTCTGTCGCCCAGGCTGGAGTGCAGTGGCATGATATCGGCTCACTGCAAGCTCCGCCTCCCAGGTTCACGCCATTCTCCTGCCTCAGCCTCCCCAGTAGCTGGGACTACAGGTGCCCACAACCATATCCCACTAATTTTTTTCTGTATTTTTAGTAGAGACAGGGTTTCACTGTTAGCCAGGATTGTCTCAATCTCCTGACCTTGTGATCCACCTGCCTCAGCCTCCCAAAATGCTGGGATTACAGGCGTGAGCCACTGTGCCTGGCCAGAAGTGCCGCACTTTAAAACCATCAGCTCTTGTGAGAACTCACTCACTATCACAAGAACAGCATGGGGGAAGCCGCCCCCATGATCCAATCGCCTCCCACCACCAGGTCCTTCCCTCCACACGTGCGAATTACAATTCAAGATAAGATTTAGGTGGGGACACAGAGCCAAATCCTATCAACTACATACAGGATAGGATAAAAGTAGAAATGAAAAAATATGCAACCCATAATTATATAAAAGAATATAAATACCCATAATAAAAGAATAAAAATACACGAATTAAATCTCCAACATAAAAAGCTGAAACATAAACAACAAAGTACACCAAAATGAAGCAAGAAAGGTGTGAGCAGAAATCAATGAGGTGGGAAAAAACATTTTTAAGGAAAGTGATAAATCAAAATCCTGGCTCTTTGAAAAATATGAACAAAATAGATAACTTACTAGCTAAAATAATCAAGAAAAAAGGGGAGATAGCAAAGATAAACAAGAAAAGAAATGAAAAGAGGGCAATTACCATTGCTGGCTTCCATATAATGGAGTGAACGCTGTGTATGTTAGCTATAGTAGTAGTTGGCATTTTATTGTCATATAATATTCCATTGTGTGACTATAGAAACATTTACATATCCATTCTACTCCTGGACATTTGGGTTGTTTAGAGTTTGGGTCTACTATGAGCAAAGCTGCTATGGACATTCTTGTAATGTCTTTTTGTGAACATGTGCATTCACTTCTTTTGGGTATACACCTGCCAGGAGGATTGCTCCAATAAGAGGTAAGCATCTACCTAGCTTTATTAGAGACTGTCAAATGGCTTTCCAAAGTGGTTGTACCAATTTACTGTCCATCAATATATGAAAGCTTCAGTTGTTTCACAGCCTCACCAACATTTATTATTGTCTTTTTCATTTTATTTAAATGTTTAATTCTGAGCATAGAGCAAATATTAACAAACACACATGGCAGTCAATTCAGAAGAAACTTTCTAAAAGTCTACTGTTACTCACTTGAAAGCTACCCAAAGTTTTGTGCTACCCAAAGGATAATACATTTCTTATTCTAATCCATGAGGAGTTTTCAAAGTATTCATGGCAAAGAAGGACACCTATTTAAATCTCCCTGACAAGAAGCAAAACATAAGACTTTGGTATACACAATAAACTGAGAAAATGAAAAAGTGTATAAATTTAAAGAAAATATAATCTTACACGTGATTTAGCTATGCTTTAAAAATGTTTATGTATATTTAAATACATTTTCTTAAACTTTATATTAAAACAAACATTTTGTTAAAAACAGACTTAGCAGTTATGAATTCAAGTCCAGAAACATGGTAAAAATACAATTGGTGCTTTTTCTTTTTGGGATGCCTAGTAAAGTAACTAGATAACCATAAAGATTGAAGACTCCATAGTTTCTACTATAATTACAGTATAACTTTTGAAATCTCATTAATAAACAGGAACAAAAATACAAATCATACAAAAAAAAGTGGGTCAGGTATGGTGGCTCACACCTGTAATCCAAGCACTTTGGCAGGCCAAAGCAGGAGGATTGTTCAAGACTATCCTGGGCAACAGAGCAAGACCCTGTCTCTACAAAGAAAACAAAAAACTTAAAAGAGAAATGTAGGACTTAGACAAACAAAACTACAGATTTTTATTGAGTGATAATAGTGCACTTGAATAAATGGAGTGGCAGTATAACATGCTGGCAAAGAATTTGAGCTTTGGAATCAGGAAGACCTGGCTTCAAATGCCACATTTCTTAAAGGAATAACTGCTATGATTCAGTTTCTTCAACTTTAAAATAAAGTGGAGATAATTACAATAACACTTCTCATAGCCCTGAGGTAAGGACTGAAGGCTTTTGTCCAAATAAATAAAAATATCATTAAGCATAAATCTGTGAGAAGTATTCATTTATGAAAACTATTGTGCAGGTGCTGGAGAGGATGTGGAGAAATAGGAACACTTTTACACTGTTGGTGGGACTGTCAACTAGTTCAACCATTGTGGAAGCCAGTGTGGCGATTCCTCAGGGATCTAGAACTAGAAATACCATTTGACCCAGCCATCTCATTACTGGGTATATACCCAAAGGATTATAAATCATGCTGCTATAAAAACACATGCACACGTTATGTTTATTGAGGCGCTATTCACAATAGCGAAGACTTGGAACCAACCCAAATGTCCATCAATGATAGACTGGATTAAGAAAATGTGGCACATATACACCATGGAATACTATACAGCCATAAAAAATGATGAGTTCATGTCCTTTGTAGGGACATGGATGAAGCTGGAAACCATCATTCTGGGCAAACTATCACAAGGACAGAAAACCAAACACCGCATGCTCTCACTCATAGGTGGGAACTGAACAATGAGAACACTTGGACACAGGGTGGGGAACATCACACACCGGGGCCTGTCATGGGGTGGGGGAGTGGGGAGGGATAGCATTAGGAGATATACCTAATGTAAATGACGAGTTAATGGGTGCAGCACACCAACATAGCACATGTATACATATGTAACAAACCTGCAGGTTGTGCACATGTACCCTAAAACTTAAAGTATAATAATAATAAAAAAAGGAAAACTGTTGTGGAAAAGACAACACAAAGAGGAAAACAAAGAAAAGTATATTTAAGACTCTAGAAAAGATAAAAGACAGACTATTCATTAAATGATATCCTTACTTTATTTCTTATACTAGAAAGACTCCAAATTAAAAACTTAAGTAAGGAGTGGAGGAAGCAATCTTATAATACTATATATCTTTCAAAATGAATATATTATCTTGGAAAATGTATTACAAAGAATCACTATCTTTATCATAAATAACATTTATCAATTAAAAAGTATGTATGAACAGTCCAGTAAAACAACAAAATGATATGAACAAGAAACAACTGATAAAAGGACTCTACCACCAATAAGCAAATTAAAACATGGTTGTCTTAAGTGAGTAGTCAAAGACACACAAAGTTTGTAAGAATAAGAATCCATTTAGGCCAGGCGTGGTGGCTCATGCCTTTAATCCCAGCACTTTGGGAGGCCAAAGCGGGTGGATCACAAGGTCAGGAGTTCAAGACCAGCCTGGCCAAGACGGTAAAACCCCATCTCTACTAAAAATACAAAAATCAGCCAGGCGTGGTGGCAGGAACCTGTAATCCCAGCTATTCGATAGGCTGAGGCAGAGAATTGCTTGAACCTGGGAGGCAGAGGTTGCAGTAAGCCAAAATCACGCCACTGCACTCCAGCCTGGGCGTCAGAGCAAGACTCTGTCTCAAAGAAAAAAATCCATTTAAAAATATGAAAGTGTGATGAGGGAAGGAAAAATATCTACTACATACTTACTCTAAGTCAGGCACTGTGGTAGGTGATTTAAATATATTATTTCAATTATTCCTTTAAGGAAGATATTATTGGATTTATTTTATAGATGAGGAAACAGAAGCCTCAGGAAACCAAAACATTTTTGATACCTTCCCCTCCCGGGGAGCCTTTCACCTCATACCAATCCCACAACTAGCAAGGCTTCTTCTAGGAAAAAGCACAACCAGATTACACAGGTATCCACAGAATATCACTAAGTAAAAATGTGAGTTTATGCATTGATAAAAGACAGGGGAGGTAAATATGGATGATGTCAAAGCTGGTTAGACTTTCATTATTTTGTCTTTAAATTTTCTTAATCTTAGTGGTGTTTTAAGAGCATGTTTGGAGATTCTAGCAAGGGAGCATAGCTACCTGTATACCCTTGACCGAAGTATGGTCCTCCTCAATCAAGGAAGGATCTGATCAATCACAGGGCTTTGGTTGGGACACACATGTAGCCATGAGGGAGGAAGGGGACATCTGCCTAGCCAGTCAGATCAGCTGAATGAACCCTGGTGATCAATGAGGCGACAGATGTCACAGCCAGATTGCCCTCACATCCCTTAATGGTGTTTTGAAAACTGAAAGAGCTACTGGAAGTTTTTGTGTAGGTCCAAGCTAAGATGTAAACGCAGTGTGCTTGGCTAACTGTGAAATATGTTCACTTCCACATTTATGTTGTTTCAATGGTTTAAAAAAAGGATTTGTCATCATACATACATTATTTTCTTATACTCATTAGCAGGTGGATAAGGATATTATTAATACTGTAAATTATTTTGTTTAGTGAATGATTTAAAGACATCCTTTTTGTCCGGATAAGTAAAACACAGTTGTTTAAAAAGTTGAAGCATGTTAATTTTCTTCACAAAAATGTATTCATGTAAGTTACAAAAACTCTGCAAAATACCGAAAATTAGAGACAAAAGAAAAATCATCCATTTCTTACATGATCCAGAGACAGACACTGAATTTATCTGAATTTGATTTTTATTATGTATTAAAATACTTTTTGCTTTTTTAATAAAAAAATCTACAATGTTTATAAAAACAGCCATCTGCTCCCCACACTTCTACTTCCCAATTTTTGTTCACTAAGTTCAATTAATCTGAATTTAGCTATGTCTTATCTATTTACAGCTGTTTCTTTCCTGCTCCTTGCCTCCCAAATACGCACTTCTCCTCCCTCAATTATCCAACAGTTATATTACAAATTAATATGTATATTCCATATGTATGACTGTGCAAATAATATTCATAATTGAGCCATGCAAAAAAAAAGAATTCACTTTTTTGCAAAGTAGACTAGCAAAGATGAAAATGGATGGCAGCCAGTGTTGGAATGGTCATAGGTAAACAGATAAATCTTACATACAGCTGGTAGGAAAGTATGTATTCAGCCTTTCCTACAGCTGGTAGGAAAGTGAGATTTTTTTCTCAAAAGCCTTAAAAAGGTTATTTTCTTCTGACACAGCTGTTACGTCTCAAGAAACTTACCTCAAAGGGATGAACAAATGAGCTTATGTACAAGAATACTCACAGTAACACTGTTTATTGCAGGAGTCCCCAACCCCCAGGCCACAGACCAGTACTGGCCTGTTAGGAACCCGGCTGCACAGCAGAAGGTGAGCGGTGGGCGAGCTAGCATTCTCACCTGAGCTCCATCTTCTGTCAGATCAGTGGAGCCAACAGATTCTCATAGGAGTGTGAACCCTATTGTGAACTGCACATACGAGGGATCTAGGTTGCACACTCCTTATGAGAATGTAATGCCTGATGATCTTCTGAGTTGGAACAGTTTCATCCCAAAACCACCTCCCCAGCTCTGGTCTGCTGGAAAAAATTGCCTTTCACGAAATTGGTCCCTGGTGCCAAAAAGGGTGGAGACCACTGGTTTGTAAGACAAACATGAAACTATTTTAACATCTAATAACAAGAGATTTGTTAAGTAAATCATAATTGTAGTAAATACTCCATCTATACAGTATCTGGACTAACCTGCTTCTTTCATGAAAAACACTAATGAAGTATATGGGGAAAAGAAAAGTGGTAGAAGTGATGCTACATTACCTCCAAGGCTAGGTTTGAAATGGTCATGTAGATTCTACCTTGTACTCCTGAAACAGTCACTCTTGGAACTCTGCCACCATGCTGTGAGGAAGCCCAAACAGCCTGTAGAGGTCCACATACAATGCAACTGAGGCTACCAACCTACAGCCTCAGCTGAGTTCTCAGCAAACAGCTTGTACCAACTTGCCAGTCATATGAATGAGCCATCTGGAACGGATATTCCCACCCCAGCTAACACAACCTTGCTCAAATTACAGATTTGTGAGCAAAATAACCTATTGTCCTTGTCTAAATCATAACATTTTGGGTGGTTTGTTACACAGCAATAGAAAAATAAAATATAACTTAAGTATATAAAGAAAGAAAAAAACTTTCCAGGCACAAAAAAGTTTCACACAGCAATAGACATAATTTGAAAACACAGAAGTGACCAATAGTAAGTGACAGTGAGGTATGTTACTGTATTTCTTCTTGATATACAGATGCTTTTCAACTTACAATAAGGTTACATCCCAATAAACTCACTGTAAATCAAAAAAATCCTAAGTCAAGCCATTATAGATTAGGGACCATCTGCAGTGTTATTCAGCTATACTAATAATCTTGCAAAATTAAAATAGTATGCTTATGATTTAGGGTGAAACTAGACAAACTATAACAAACATCAAAAATAAAAGGAATTACATAGCTTTATTTGTAACACAATAACTCTGGGTCCTTTAAGAAGCTGCAGCACAATTTTAGATCTAAGCCTAAAAACATCTTCTGCCCTAAATAAATTCTCATTTAGTCATTTCAGAAAAACTGAATGAACAGTAATGACTTTGACTCCCTACAACTAGTTGCCTAGGATTCTATATTTAACCTTAAGCAATGTGTACCACGCCTCTAGAACAGTTTTAATCTCACAACACTTGAGGAGAGAAGATTACAGGCTACAGGCAAAGACTTAGTGCCAAAGATGAATAATCAAAACTGACTTTAGAGAACCAAAAATGACTTCAGGTCACTTCAGCTAGCAATCCACCAAGTATTCAGCTTTGATTGAAATTCATCTTGTCATACAGCTCGACATACCCAAATATTACTGTGCAGAAAAAGAGCAGAAGCCATTTAGTTCTATAACCCAAATCACAGCACAACAAGGTTATGTCCAGCATTCACGGCCAGAAGCAAATGGTAACCAGCAGTGATTTCAGAGTGGACATTTCTTTTCTAACTTAAAGATGGTATAATGAAATATTTAAAATGATAGGAATCTCTCTGAAATATACAAAGCTTCCACCACAACCAAAAATATTTCACTATCAAAATTAAGCATAATGGTAAAATATTCCTCTAGTACACATCATAAAGGCAAATATTAGATGGTAACGAGGTAGAGAACTTCAAAATTATCTCTTACAAATCTCAAGGGGTAAAATTGATCTGCTTCAATGGTCAAAGCTAAAAATCAATATGTATAGCCTGGCCATCAACTGATAACAGCCTGAAAGAAAAACAGTGAGAAATCATGTAGATAACCACACTGACACTATTTTCCTATTTAATATTGAGGGAAACAAACAAGGTAATGATTAAATCTAAAATTGTTTTTGGATTGCAATTTTCCTTTAAAAAGTTTAGCCAAGTACCTAAGTAAAATGTCTTTCAGAGAACACACATTTATTAATACAGACTAAAAATATCACAATATACACACATAATCCGATTAATATGTATAAATTAATTTCATATTTTAAATGCTTGATTAAAAAGTGAGCAGACTTATCCAAATTTATCAAAATTTTACATGCATTAAATTTCATAGTGATCTTCCACGGTGCTTCCAAATTATACAGAGATCTGCAGCTTCAGGCTTATTATTAATCACTGTTGTGTTACAGGTTTGTGTCAAAACACAAAACATGAACCACTCAGCCCTCAGTCCTTCATGCTTTCCATGTTGACTGGGGAATTTTTCTGTAGGGCGGTAACCACTTGTTACTCCTTCACATCCATAAAATAATCTTCCTAATGCTACAGATTATAGGATTACTACCAAAAATTGTGTAACGTATACATTGATTTTATAGAAAGATACTTTTTTTTTTTTTTTTTGAGACAGAGTATTACTCTGTTGCCCAGGCTGGAGTGCAGTGGAGCAATCCTGGCTCACTGCAACCTCCAGTCTCCCAGGTTCAAGTGATCCTCCTGCCTCACCCTCCCAAGTAGCTGGGACCACAAGCACGCACTACCACGACAGGCTAATTTTTTTGTATTTTTAGTAGAGACAGGGTCTCGCCATGTTGGCCAGGCTGGTCTTGAACTCCTGGCCTCAAGTGATCCACCCACCTCAGCCTCCCAAAGTGCTGGGATTACAGGCATGAGCCAAGATGCCCAGCCAGAATGATACTTTCTGAATCATAAGTAAATAGGGTAAAGGAGAGAGCCTCATAGACTTTTTCATGAAGAATATTAAGTTACTTTTGAAAGGTGAATTTCTAAAGAAGCCTTTTTATTTTTAGTTAACTTCAGATTCTCCCCAAACAAAACAACTATGGCTACAGTCATCCACGAAGACCTGTAGATTGAAAGATGACAAGAAGTTTGTAAATATTAAGAGAGAATTAAAACGGACATATTTTTTCTTATATTTGAAACACTGAATACTCCAGCTAATAATACGGCTTACCATAAGAATAGCTCACTCCATCAAGTAGTAAGTTTCCCTACTCCCTTGCGTGCCTAAATCATATTCTATCTTTGTCAATTATAAAATACCACATAATAATCTGTCAGAATATTTCCATTAAAATATGTGGTAATGTTCAAAAGTTAATTAGTTTAATAATCCAAACCATTTTCAATGAGAGATGGAGTTCCTAAAATTCAGTGTATTCTGGAACTTTCTGTAAACTTTCAGAAGAAATAGGATGAAATAAGAAAGAATACATTGTCACAGTGTTTTTGTAATCAAATACATTTATAAAGAACAAAAGGAACCGTAGAATTACAAATGATGGCAAAACTCAGTAAATGTAAATTTATGATTTGTACATTCTATCATTACTAATATTATTAGTAAACATCAAAAAAGCATGTAAGAATTTTTGAAATAAGAACTTACCCTCACTTCCAACAACAACAAAAAATCATGAATATCTGTGAGATGTTACAATGCTTTTCCTTTCAAATCATACTGTGTGCGAGTAAAAGCTACCCATGTGGTAGGAAGACCATAATACCTAATACCATCACTACCACCACCACACACACAAACCCCTCAAAGAAAAAACGACTGAAACTTCCCCAGAGATCCTCGAAAAATTCAAAAGTGAAGCAAAGAAAAAACGTAAAACATTATAGCAACTCAAGTACATATATAATACCAATCCTTTTATTTAAATTATGGAATGTTTCAAACATACAATAGAGTGATTTTTTAAAATCCATGTGACTTTATCAAATCTTAGTATTTGAAACTTGTAAGCCCAAATCCTTTTTAAGAAACAATGAATTAGAGAGACACAACGGAAGCCTCTGTCCTGCCTCTCCCCAATCCCACTACCCTCCGTCTATCCTCAGAAGCAAGCATGCTCACTCTGGTGGGTTACCACCACAGCTATTCTTTATACCAGAATCTCTGGGACACATTTAAAGCACTGTGTAGAGGGAAGTTTATAGCTCTAAATGCCCACAAGAGAAAACAGGAAAGATCTAAAATTGACACCCTATCACAATTAAAAGAACTAGAGAAGCAAGAGCAAACACATTCAAAAGCTAGCAGAAAGCAAGAAATAACTATGATCAGAGCAGAACTGAAGGAGATAGAGACACAAAAAACCCTTCAAAAAAATCAATGAATCCAGGAGCTGGTTTTTTGAAAAGATCAACAAAATTGATAGACTGCTAGCAAGACTAATAAAGAAGAAAAGAGAGAAGAATCAAATAGATGCAATAAAAAATGATAAAGGGGATATCACCACCGATCCCACAGAAATACAAACTACCATCAGAGAATACTATAAACACCTCTACGCAAATAAACTAGAAAATCTAGAAGAAATGGATAAATTCCTCGACACATACACCCTCCCAAGACTAAACCAGGAAGAAGTTGAATCTCTGAATAGACCAATAACAGGATCTGAAATTGCGGCAATAATTAATAGCTTATCAACCAAAAAAAGTCCAGGACCAGATGGATTCACAGCCGAATTCTACCAGAGGTACAAGGAGGAACTGGTACCATTCCTTCTGAAACTATTCCAATCAATAGAAAAAGAGGGAATCCTCCCTAACTCATTTTATGAGGCCAGCATCATCCTGATACCAAAGCCTGGCAGAGACACAACCAAAAAAGAGAATTTTAGACCAATATCCCTGATGAACACTGATGCAAAAATCCTCAATAAAATACTGACAAACCAAATCCAGCAGCACATCAAAAAGCTTATCCACCATGATCAAGTGGGCTTCATCCCTGGGATGCAAGGCTGGTTCAACACACACAACTCAATCAACATAATCCAGCATATAAACAGAACCAAAGACAAAAACCACATGATTATCTCAATAGATGCAGAAAAGGTCTTTGACAAAATTCAACAATCCTTCATGCTAAAAACTCTCAATAAATTAGGTACTGATGGGACATATCTCGAAATAATAAGAGCTATCTATGACAAACCCACAGCCAATATCATACTGAATGGAAAAAAACTGGAAACATTCCCTTTGAAAACTGGCACAAGACAGGGATGCCCTCTCTCACCACTCCTATTCAACATAGTGTTGGAAGTTCTGGCCAGGGCAATCAGGCAGGAGAAGGAAATAAAGGGCATTCAATTAGGAAAAGAGGAAGTCAAATTGTCCCTGTTTGCAGATGACTTGACTGTATATCTAGAAAACCCCATTGTCTCAGCCCAAAATATCCTTAAGCTGATAAGCAACTTCAGCAAAGTCTCAGGATACAAAATCAACGTGCAAAAATCACAGGCATTCTTATACACCAACAACAGACAAACAGAGAGCCAAATCATGAGTGAACTCCCATTCACAATTGCTTCAAAGAGAATAAAATACCTAGGAATCCAACTTAAAAGGGATGTCAAGGACCTCTTCAAGGAGAACTACAAACCACTGCTCAATGAAATTAAAGAGGATACAAACAAATGGAAGAACATTCCATGCTCATGGATAGGAAGAATCAATATCGTGAAAAGGGCCATACTGCCCAAGGTAATTTATAAATTCAATGCCATACCCATCAAGCTACCAATGACTTTCTTCACAGAATTGGAAAAAACGACTTTCAAGTTCATATGGAACCAAAAAAGAGCCGGCATTGCCAAGTCAATCCTAAGCCAAAAGAACAAAGCTGGAGGCATCACGCTACCTGACTTCAAACTATACTACAAGGCTACGGTAACCAAAACAGCATGGTACTGGTACCAAAACAGAGATATAGACCAATGGAACAGAACAGAGCCCTCAGAAATAATGCCGCATATCTACAACTATCTGATCTTTGACAAACCTGACAAACACAAGCAATGGGAAAAGGATTCCCTATTTAATAAATGGTGCTGGGAAAACTGGCTAGCCATATGTAGAAAGCTGAAACTGGATCCCTTCCTTACACCTTATACAAAAATCAATTCAAGATGGATTAAAGACTTAAATGTTAGACCTAAAACCATAAAGAGCCTAGAAGAAAACCTAGGCATTACCATTCAGGACATAGGCATGGGCAAGGACTTCATGTCTAAAACACCAAAAGCAATGGCAACAAAAGCCAAAATTGACAAATGGGATCTAATTAAACTAAAGAGCTTCTGCACAGCAAAAGAAACCACCATCAGAGTGAACAGGCAACCTACAAAATGGGAGAAAATTTTTGCAACCTACTCATCTGACAAAGGGCTAATATCCAGAATCTACAATGAACTCAAACAAATTTACAAGAAAAAACCAAACAACCCCATCACAAAGTGGGCAAAGGATATGAACAGACACTTCTCAAAAGAAGACATTTATGCAGCCAAAAAACACATGAAAAAATACTCATCATCACTGGCCATCAGAGAAATGCAAATCAAAACCACAATGAGATACCATCTCACACCAGTTAGAATGGCGATCATTAAAAAGTCAGGAAACAACAGGTGCTGGAGAGGATGTGGAGAAATAGGAACACTTTTACAGTGTTGGTGGGACTGTAAACTAGTTCAACCATTGTGGAAGTCAGTGTGGCGATTCCTCAGGGATCTAGAACTAGAAATACCATTTGACCCAGCCATCCCATTACTGGGTATATACCCAAAGGATTATAAATCATGCTGCTATAAAGACACATGCACACATATGTTTATTGCGGCACTACTCACAATAGCAAAAACTTGGAACCAACCCAAATGTCCAACAATGATAGATTGGATTAAGAAAATGTGGCACATATACACCATGGAATACTATGCAGCCATAAAAATAATGAGTTCATGTCCTTTGTAGGGACATGGATGAAGCTGGAAACCATCATTCTCAGTAAACTATTGCAAGGACAAAAAACCAAACACCGCATGTTCTCACTCATAGGTGGGAATTGAACAATGGGAACACATGGACACAGGAAGGGGAACATCACATACCAGGGACGTTGTGAGGTGGAGGGAGGGGGGAGGGATACCATTAGGAGATATACCTAATGCTAAATGACCAGTTAATGGGTGCAGCACACCAACATGGCACATGTATACATATGTAACAAACGTGCACGTTGTGCACATGTACCCTAAAAGTATAATAATAATAAAAGTAATAAAAATAAAAGAAATATAAAGATTTATATTTTTAAATAATTGTATTTTACCTATCCAGACAAAAAGTGTATCTTTAAACCATTCAGTAAACAAAATTTACAGTATTAATAATATCCATATCCACATGCTAATGAATATAAGAAAATAATATATATATGGTGACAACTCCTTTTTTTTTTTTTTATGGTGATGCAGTCTTGCTCTGTCACCCAGGCTGGAGTGCAGTGGTGCAATCTGGGCTCACTGCAACCTCCACCTCCCAGTTTCAAGCGATTCTCCTGCCTCAGCCTACTGAGTAGCTGGAATTACAGGCACACACCACCACACCCAGCTAATTTTTGTATTTTTAGTAGAGATGGGGTTTCACTATGTTGGCCAGGCTGGTCTTGAACTCCTGACCTCAGGTGATCCACCCACCTCAGCCTCCCAAAGTGCTGGGATTACAGGCATGAGCCACCGCGCCCAGCCGACAACTCCTCTTTTTTTAAACATTGAAACAACATAAATATGGAAATGAACTACTCACATACGTTATTATATCGCCCATATCCTTCTGCAGCTTGCCTTTTTTCACTCAAAGTTTTCTTTATGAGATTTATCCATGTTAATTCTTTTCAATCTAGTTTGTTCATTTCTAATTGCTGTATAATATTCTACCACAAGGATATAAGTTTAATTATCCAATCTCTTGTTGGTTAACTTTTACATTCTGCATCATCTTATGTTACTGCAAACACTACTGTGATAAATAATTTTTCCAAATTTCTTTGTACACATGTATTTTTTGGCTCAGGTATGTGCATCTTCAACTTCATTAAAGATTATAAAATTGCACTCCACTTTACCTAGCTGAGTTTCCACTGGCCCATATCTCTGCCAGCAATTCTGTCAGACTTACATGTTCGCCAATCTGAAGATTATAGAATAGTCATTTTAACTTTCATTTTATCCATCAGTTTCTAATTCAAGCATCTTTTCCCAAGTTTACTGACCATTCCAATTTCTTCTTCTATAAAGTAATTCTTCACATTCTATGCCCATTTTGTCTTAACTTTTCCTTTTCATTATTAGGCTATTTTTCATATCCTGGATACTAATCATTAAGAAAAGTTTCCCTACAACAAGATCACAAAGACAGTTATGTAAATTTTCTTTTAAGTTTTTTTCAAGTTTTCCTTTTCATATTTTAGTCTTATGTCAGAAAAAAAATCTAACACTCAAATGTCAACAAAAAAACTAATTGAATAAAAATGTGGTACAGTCACACTACAAAGTACTAATTTCAAAAAAGATGAACATTTCTATAAACAGATACAAAATGATCTCTGAGGTAAGTTTAAAAAGGTACAAAATGAAATACGTCCCATCAATACCTAATTTATTGAAAGTTTTTAGCATGAAGGGTTGTTGAATTTTGTCAAAGGCTTTTTCTGCATCTATTGAGATAATCATGTGGTTTTTGTCTTTGGCTCTGTTTATATGCTGGATTACATTTATTGATTTGCGTATATTGAACCAGCCTTGCATCCCAGGGATGAAGCCCACTTGATCATGGTGGATAAGCTTTTTGATGTGCTGCTGGATTCGGTTTGCCAGTATTTTATTGAGGATTTTTGCATCAATGTTCATCAAGGATATTGGTCTAAAATTCTCTTTTTTGGTTGTGTCTCTGCCAGGCTTTGGTATCAGAATGATGCTGGCCTCATAAAATGAGTTAGGGAGGATTCCCTCTTTTTCTATTGATTGGAATAGTTTCAGAAGGAATGGTACCAGTTCCTCCTTGTACCTCTGGTAGAATTCGGCTGTGAATCCATCTGGTCCTGGACTCTTTTTGGTTGGTAAACTATTGATTATTGCCACAATTTCAGAGCCTGTTATTGGTCTATTCAGAGATTCAACTTCTTCCTGGTTTAGTCTTGGGAGAGTGTATGTGTCGAGGAATGTATCCATTTCTTCTAGATTTTCTAGTTTATTTGCGTAGAGGGGTTTGTAGTATTCTCTGATGGTAGTTTGTATTTCTGTGGGATTGGTGGTGATATCCCCTTTATCATTTTTTATTGTGTCTATTTGATTCTTCTCTCTTTTTTTCTTTATTAGTCTTGCTAGTGGTCTATCAATTTTGTTGATCCTTTCAAAAAACCAGCTCCTGGATTCATTGATTTTTTGAAGGGTTTTTTGTGTCTCTATTTCCTTCAGTTCTGCTCTGATTTTAGTTATTTCTTGCCTTCTGCTAGCTTTTGAATGTGTTTGCTCTTGCTTTTCTAGTTCTTTTAATTGTGATGTTAGGGTGTCAATTTTGGATCCTTCCTGCTTTCTCTTGTAGGCATTTAGTGCTATAAATTTCCCTCTACACACTGCTTTGAATGCGTCCCAGAGATTCTGGTATGTGGTGTCTTTGTTCTCGTTGGTTTCAAAGAACATCTTTATTTCTGCCTTCATTTCGTTATGTACCCAGTAGTCATTCAGGAGCAGGTTGTTCAGTTTCCATGTAGTTGAGCGGCTTTGAGTGAGATTCTTAATCCTGAGTTCTAGTTTGATTGCACTGTGGTCTGAGAGATAGTTTGTTATAATTTCTGTTCTTTTACATTTGCTGAGGAGAGCTTTACTTCCAACTACATGGTCAATTTAAACCCACAGCCAATATCATACTGAATGGGCAAAAACTGGAAGCATTCCCTTTGAAAACTGGCACAAGACAGGGATGCCCTCTCTCACCACTCCTATTCAACATAGTGTTGGAAGTTCTGGCCAGGGCAATCAGGCAGGAGAAGGAAATAAAGGGTATTCAATTAGGAAAAGAGGAAGTCAAATTGTCCCTGTTTGCAGACGACATGATTGTTTATCTAGAAAACCCCACTGTCTCAGCCCAAAATCTCCTTAAGCTGATAAGCAACTTCAGCAAAGTCTCAGGATACAAAATCAATGTACAAAAATCGCAAGCATTCTTATACACCAACAACAGACAAACAGAGAGCCAAATCATGGGTGAACTCCCATTCACAATTGCTTCAAAGAGAATAAAATACCTAGGAATCCAACTTACAAGGGATGTGAAGGACCTCTTCAAGGAGAACTACAAACCACTGCTCAAGGAAATAAAAGAGGACACAAACAAATGGAAGAACATTCCATGCTCATGGGTAGGAAGAATCAATATCGTGAAAATGGCCATACTGCCCAAGGTAATTTACAGATTCAATGCCATCCCCATCAAGCTACCAATGACTTTCTTCACAGAATTGGAAAAAACTACTTTAAAGTTCATATGGAACCAAAAAAGAGCCCGCATCGCCAAGTCAATCCTAAGCCAAAAGAACAAAGCTGGAGGCATCACACTACCTGACTTCAAACTATACTACAAGGCTACAGTAACCAAAACAGCATGGTACTGGTACCAAAACAGAGATATAGATCAATGGAACAGAACAGAGCCCTCAGAAATAATGCCGCATATCTACAACTATCTGATTTTTGACAAACCTGAGAAAAACAAGCAATGGGGAAAGGATTCCCTATTTAATAAATGGTGCTGGGAAAACTGGCTAGCCATATGTAGAAAGCTGAAACTGGATCCCTTCCTTACACCTTATACAAAAATCAATTCAAGATGGATTAAAGATTTAAACGTTAGACCTAAAACCATAAAAACCCTAGAAGAAAACCTAGGCATTACCATTCAGGACATAGGCGTGGGCAAGGACTTCATGTCCAAAACACCAAAAGCAATGGCAACAAAAGCCAAAATTGACAAATGGGATCTAATTAAACTAAAGAGCTTCTGCACAGCAAAAGAAACTACCATCAGAGTGAACAGGCAACCTACAACATGGGAGAAAATTTTTGCAACCTACTCATCTGACAAAGGGCTAATATCCAGAATCTACAATGAACTCAAACAAATTTACAAGAAAAAAACAAACAACCCCATCACAAAGTGGGCGAAGGACATGAACAGACACTTCTCAAAAGAAGACATTTATGCAGCCAAAAAACACATGAAGAAATGCTCATCATCACTGGCCATCAGAGAAATGCAAATCAAAACCACTATGAGATATCATCTCACACCAGTTAGAATGGCAATCATTAAAAAGTCAGGAAACAACAGGTGCTGGAGAGGATGTGGAGAAATAGGAACACTTTTACACTGTTGGTGGGACTGTAAACTAGTTCAACCATTGTGGAAGTCAGTGTGGCGATTCCTCAGGGATCTAGAACTAGAAATACCATTTGACCCAGCCATCCCATTACTGGGTATATACCCAAAGGATTATAAATCATGCTGCTATAAAGACACATGCACACGTATGTTTATTGCGGCACTATTCACAATAGCAAAGACTTGGAACCAACCCAAATGTCCAACAATGATAGACTGGATTAAGAAAATGTGGCACATATACACCATGGAATACTATGCAGCCATAAAAAATGATGAGTTCATATCCTTTGTAGGGACATGGATGAAATTGGAAACCATCATTCTCAGTAAACTATCGCAAGAACAAAAAACCAAACACCGCATATTCTCACTCATAGGTGGGAATTGAACAATGAGATCACTTGGACACAGGAAGGGGAATATCACACTCTGGGGACTGTGGTGTGGTCGGGGGAGGGGGGAGGGATAGCATTGGGAGATATACCTAATGCTAGATGACACATTAGTGGGTGCAGCGCACCAGCATGGCACATGTATACATATGTAACTAACCTGCACAATGTGCACATGTACCCTAAAACTTAGAGTATAATAAAAAAAAAAAAAAAAAAAAAGGTACAAAATGGGCCAGATGCCGTGGCTCACATCTGCAATTTCCAACACTTTGGAAACACTTTGGGAGGCTGAGGCAGGTGGATCACCTGAGCCCAAGAGCTCGATAGCAGCCTGGGCAGCATGGCGAAACCCAGTCTCTACCGAAAATACAAAAAAAAAGCCGAGTGTGGTGGCACACACCTGTGGTCCCAGCCACCCTGGAAGGTGGAAAGACAGCTTGAGCCCAGGAGGCAGCGGTTTCAGTGAGCCAAGATCACACCACTGTACTCCAGCCTCGGAGAAAGAGACCCCACCCTGGGTCAAAAATTAAATAAAGTGCATGATGGTGTATGCTATCTTTTATCTTTTATATTAAAATATAAAAATTTATATTAAAAATATAAAAGATGTTATCTTTTATATTTTAGGGAGAAAATATCGTGGCACCCACCAAAGGTCTTTTTAGAGTCAACGAAGCACACAGATTCAAGAGACTACCCAAGATCACATTTTCTGTCAGTTTGTTCAGGAACCTGAGCTTGCCAGCAAGGCTACAATTGATGCTCTTCTCCTGCTGGAGTCCTTGCAGCAGGCTGGGCAGCACAGCTCAGGTGCATTAAGAAGAGAGCCACACTGGGTAGGTATGGGAGCCACCTAGGCTTAGGAACTTCCAACCACACAAGCACCAACCTTGTAACAACTCCATAGCCATAGCTTCCAGAGTTTCCATAGAAACCAGAGTCACTGCACTTAGGGAACCCCAAAGCTATGGCTTTCTACCAAGTATTTATCACTCTCCAGCTTAGATGCAATTTACCAATCAGGGGCCATTTTAACCACAAGCAGTCCTGCTTCATAATACAAATAATAGGTTGGTCTTATCGGGTTCCCAGAGACACAGAGTTCCAAAGTTAACTGAAATTCAAATTCCCACACAGAAAGGGGAAGGAAAGGTTTTGTTAACCCTTTACCTATAGATAAGCAGAGATATAAAGAAAGAGAGGTAAACACAGAGAAAGAGAAGATAGAGGCAGAAAGAGAGATTTATAGATAGAAAAATATATATTTATACAAATACATACATAAAAATATATTTTTCTCTATACATACAGAGAGAGAAAGCAAGAGAGAGGAGAGACAGACAGAAGATGAGACATATTTACCTATATTTGCAAACAGATATCTGATTGAAACAGATAACCTAGAAAAAATCATTTATGAGAAGGTCAGGAAAATATGAACTCTGCGGTGAAACCCTGTCTCTACTAAAAATACAAAAAATTAGCCGGGCATGGTGGCGGGTGCCTGTAGTCCCAGCTACTCAGGAGGCTGAGGCAGGAGAATGGCGTGAACCCAGGAGGCGGAGCTTGCAGTGAGCCAAGATCGCGCCACCGCACTCCAGCCTGGGCAACAGAGCGAGACTCCATCTTAAAAAAAAAAAAAAAAAAGTGAACTCTGACTGGATTTGTGGCTATTTTGAGAATGTATTAATTTTTTGGTCTTTAATGACTTTGTGAATATATTTACTTTTTAAAATTCCTTGTCTTCTACAGATACATATAAGGTAATTACAAAATGATATGATGTATAGATTTTGCTTCAAAATAATTCAGAGGAAGAAGGAATGTATATAAATGAAGTAGGAATATAAATGAAACAAAACTGGCCATGGTCACGTGCAGTGGCTCATGCCTGTAATCCCAGCACTCTGGGAGGCTGAGGCGAGTGGATCACCTGAGGTCAGGAGTTCGAGACCAGCCTGGCCAACATGGTGAAACCCCAGCTCTACTAAAAATACAAAATTCAGCTAGGCGTGGTGCCAGGCACCTGTAATCCCAGCTACTCGGGAGGCTGAGGCAGGAGAATCACTTGAACCCGGGAGGCGGAGGTTGCAGTGAGCCGAGATCATGCCACTGCACTCCAGCCTGGGCAACCACAGCAAAATTCCACCTAAAAAAACAAACAAACATACAAACAAAATTTGGCCATGAATGAAAAATTGTTGATGATGTGTTTATGTTGGGCAATTATATTATTTTTCTCAACTTTTTTTTAGGTTTGAAACTTTTTATTGAACACATGCACACATCCCTTGATAACTGGGGCTGCCTCGCCATTATTCTCACAGTAACCTTTCTGATTTTCACTTCATCTTCATAGCGATTCTGAATTTTTTTTTTTTTTTGGGCAAGTTCAAGTATGTCTTTGCAAGGACTATCTGGCATGCCTATTTTATGAGAGAGGGTTTGCAGAGTACCTACTCAGCCATATTATCAGAAACAGAAATATTTTCCAGATTCTGTTCTTGTCCTGTTTAGATTTTTTAAGTTCCAAGAGCAGTCACCTTCTACCAGACACTCTGATGTCAGAAGACAAAGCATTATTTTGTAAGTGGCATGATTTCTGCGCTCAAATTTAGAACAGAGACACAGCTTTCAACAACCCAAAAATAACTTACTGTGACTCACCAAATTTAAAAAGACGGAGATGATTAAAAAAAGAAAACCTTAGTTTACTATGTGACCTCTAAGTATCTCGGCTGAAAATTTTAAAGAT
Source organism: Homo sapiens (assembly GCF_000001405.40). Lineage (NCBI taxonomy): Eukaryota > Metazoa > Chordata > Mammalia > Primates > Hominidae > Homo > Homo sapiens. The sequence goes on from NC_000003.12 coordinate 41,782,543, forward strand.
AGAAAGGTAAATCAAAAGATATAGAGACTGTAATCAGGAACTTAATGAAGCGTTAAATCAAAGTATTTTTGGCATATGTGAAAGAGTTTAATTTTATCACATTTTTTACTGGCACTATAGCTATTTGCAAGTACATATAAAACTACAGTGTTACATATAAACTACCAAAAAAGAACTTTTTAAGAAATGAGACTAATTTAGTAACTTTATTTAAAAGTTTATCTTAAGGGAATAACTAAGGATGTCCATACAAAAGGATTTAGCCATAAGAATGTTCTCCCTGGCAAATCAATGGAAATTATTAAATGTGCAAAAGAGGACTGTAGGAATGAATTGCAATACCTTTAAATGATCGTATATCATAACCTTTTAAAATGATATTGAAGAGTTGCATAAATTGACTTAAACACACATTCGTAACACATCACTGAATAGGAGAAATATGAGCCAGCAAAGAACATAGAGTTGGGTTGGTCCAATTTCTACCAAAAAAAAAAAAAAGACTAATAGCATGACAGCAGAGAAGAGGGAATATGTCAACGCGTACATGTGTATATGTATATATATGCATAGCAAGTACGAATTTGAAAGGATATATATCAAATTTTTTACAGAGATTACCTCAGAGAGGTAAATGTTTAACTTTGGCCTTTGGTGTTCTGATTCCACATATTCTGAATTTTCTTTTTTTATTTAAATAGAGACGGAGTCTTAGCCAGAGCAGTGGCTCACATCTGTAATCCCAGCACTTTGGGAGGCTGGGGAGGGCCGACTGCTTGAGGCCAGGAGTTCGAGACCAGTCTGGTCAACATGGCAAAACTCTGTCTCTATTAAAAATACAAAAATTAGCTAGGTGCAGTGGCTCATGCCTATAACCCCAGCTACTTGGGAGGCTGAGACATAAGAATTGCTTGAACCAGGAGGCGAAGGTTGCAGTGAGCCGAGATCATGCCACTACGCTCCAGCCTAGGCAACAGACCAAGACTCTGTCTCAAAAAAAAAAAAAAGAGAGGGAGAGATGGGGTCTTATCATGTTGTCCAGGCAGGCCTTGAACTCTTAGGTTCATGCAATCCTCTAGCCACAGCCTCCCAAGCAACAGGGGCTACAGGTGCATACCACTGTGCCCAGCTTGAATTCTCTATACTACTCATATGAATCCTAAAATTTGTCACTATACAGTCTGATAACAATTAAAGTAAATTAGCATTGACTACTTTAAGTTTTTAGGTATTGTAATTATAGAAAATTGTAATGAGCTCATCCAATATATTTCTCCCCAATAAACAGCAGGAAACATCCATGAACTCTCAGACTTTTCCAGCCTTGAAAATGAAATATTTGCAGGAAACATTAACAGCTTGGAAGTACCAGAAAAATGACTACAAAGTAAACTAGAAAAATAAAAGAGTTTGGAGTACAAGGATTAGTAAATAAACTCATACCTAACCTACAAGATTTTTTCTTCTACTTGATCAGGTCTTCCAGAAGCTTCTTGGTCAGTCATTCAAGCATCTGAATTATAAAAAGGTAATCAATTCCCTACATCTAGCAGTGATTCAAGAATCACATATAAAGTACCATCTGCCAATAGTTCAAAAAGTTTCCTATTGGCCAGGCGTGGTGGCTCACACCTACAATCCCAGCACTTTGGGAGGCCGAGGCAGGTAGATCATCTGAGGTTGGGAGTTTGAGGCCAGGCTGACCAACATGGAGAAACCCCATCTCTACTAAAAACACAAAATTAGCCAGGCGTGGTGACACATGCCTGTAATCCCAGCTACTCGGGAGCCTGAGGCAGGAGAATCGCTTGAACCCAGGAGGCGGAGGTTGCGGTGAGCCGAGATCACTCTATTGCACTCCAGCCTGGAAATCAAGCAAAACTCCGTCTCAAAAAAAAAGTTTCCTATTAAGTGTTTAGGGGGAAAAATGGAAAAAGGTGGTTTTTTACTTTGATTTTTAATCAAAAGTCCCCTCTCATTGTGGTTGTGATTGTTCACTTTTAACATCACAGTGTATGGAACTAACAGTTGTTTTGGATAAAGGAATCTTCTTCTATTAAGGACATCTATGGGCAAGCAAATCATTTTAAAGATGATGACACAAAATAAATCAAGCACTCATGATGCAAATGGCTACTCATCCAAATAGCTGCTGAATAATAACCATCTAAGGACACTGACACCCAAGTAGCTAATGCAGATGACAATGTGAACTGAACAAGTTCCTTCAATACATAAACATCCACTCAAGAAAATGTCTATGATTCAGAAGAGAATAGACTCTACCACCTTGTTAGTTTAAGATGAAAACCTGGCTACAGTTACAAATTTCAAATGGAGAATCAGAGATTAATTACAAACTACAAATAACTATGAAAACATGAAGTATACTGATAATTAAATAATGTTAAACTCTAGGTTTTATTATAAGAAAAATACAGCATGTGGCTTAAACGACTGCTGGATAAATTACAAATAAATGGTACCCACATAATCTACCTTTCCAAAGAACAATCAAGCAACATTAAGGCAGCACCTTACAAATGTGTATAACACTTGAGTAATCTATTAGAGGTGAACACAAAGATGTATGTAACAGGGTGTTCATCATATCATGATGAGTAGCAACCAAAAAACAGGAGCCAAACAGTTCAATAGTGGAGGAAGAGTTAAATTATTGGTGCATCACAAAATAAATCATATAACAAGTTTCTTTTAATATCCCTGAGGAACATTTAATGACATAGTAAAATACTCATGAAAACAGCAAGAAAAATCAACACAATTTTATTTTAACTTGGTAAATGTGTGCATAAAATGCATAGACGCAGACAGAAAACTAGAAAGAGATAAACCAACATGTTAACAAAAATTATGTCTGGGTAGTGAGATTCCAGCTAATTTTGTTTTCTTCTTTAGAGTCTTCTAAGTTTTCTGTAGCAAACAGTAATTTCTTTTATTTAAAAGGAAGGGAATGGAACTCTTTTGGAGACTGGGTTTCCATTGTAAAAGACCATAATATATGAGCGTCAATCCCGCCAAAAAACAACACGTAGAATTCCTTCTCCCTGTTCAACAGGAAGCAATTTTGTATTTGCTCCTGGGTCTCTTCCTCTTCCACTCATTCTAACCTATCAACAATAAGGCTGGTAAATCTGCACCTCAAACACACATGTATAGACAGGTATAGACGACACTCACTTTTCTTTAAGTAACAATAAGACAATGATCATTGCACTAAAACCCCTTAGGAAGGCCAATATCATGACCCTACCTGAGCTGGGTCTTCTTCCAACTGCCCAGGTTCTTCCATGTCCCTTCCTCCCTGCTGGCTGTGCTCCAACTCTGATGACCTTCTTTCTCTTCCCACATCTCCCTAAGATCTCTCACACTTCAGGAAGGCTGAACCACAAAGTTCTTCCCCTAGATCTTCACATTCCAAGCTCTTTCTTATCATCCAAGGCCAGAATGCACCTTCTCAGAGAGGCCTTCCCTGACTGTTCTCCAACCTAACCTAGGCTAATAATGTGTGGCTCCACTCCACCTGCACACTGCCCCTAACAGTCACTCTATCACATACCCTGTTCTATGTTCTTCAGGACACTAAAACTATCCCAAATTACTGCGTTTTGTTTATTATCAGCCCCTCCTGTTAGGGCATAAGCACTTATATCTAGCACTTATACACTCCAAGAACTCGACAAAATTACTCAACACACTGTCTCATCTGTGAAAGATTCAGAGTTGAAAATCATTTGGCCCAAAGTAAACATTCAGGGCCAGGAATGGTGGCTCACACCTGTAATCCCAGCACCTTGGGAGGCTGCGACGGGGGATCACCTGAATCCAGGAGTTCAAGACCAGCCTGGGCAACATAGCAAGACCCCATCTCTACAAAAAAATACAAAAATTAGCCAGACATGGCGGTGCACGCCAGTAGTCCCAGCTACTCAGGAGGCTGAGGTGGTCACCTGAGCCCAGAAGGCCAAGGCTACAATGAGCCAAGATCACACCACTGCACTCCAGTCTGGGCAACCAGAGTGAGATCCTGTCTCCAAAAAAAAAAAAAAAAAAAGCAAATGTTCAATAAATTGTAAATTTTTTAATTGTTAATCTTTTTATTAAAATAGAATCTTGAACTCTAAATAGAAATTCATTGTACATTATTGAGGTGTCACAGATACATTTAAAAAACTAGAAGACAAGAGAGAGAAGATGCACTTCTCTCTATTCCTACTACTAAGTACAGCCAAAAACCCTGGACAATATATATAAAACAAATATAAGATGACAGATACATGGAAAGAAGGCAGAAGACCAGCTAGGGGCCTTGAAACCTGAGGATCAACACAGCAATGCATTCACTGAGTTGTCTTTTTGCCTCTTATATCCCAGATTGGGTGCTGAAAAATCCAAGGGTCTAGAAGCACCAACAGGTATACATACACAAATACACAAGAAAAAACAGCTCTCTCAAACCAAAGGACCAAGAGAGGGGCAGCCTGGCAAGACAGAAAATTTTTAGAAAATAGCTACTCTACTTCAGCCAAGCACCATGGAAAAACCACACCCCAACCCCACCAGCAAAGAGCAAGTAGGGAGCCTAGACTTCCAACCTCATGTGACCATGGCAAGGTGCCCCAGCATTATCCCCTGCCAGAGTGGAGTCACAAAAGACCAAGCAGAGAGCTGGGGCTTTCATCCCAACCCAACGACAGAAAGTCCTCCACCATGCTGTACAATGTTTCCCCAGTGATGAGGCATCCATTCCACTCCACCAGCATCAGTGGAGGCAATGATGAGGATCCCTTCCCCTCAGCAGCCGGGGTAGCATCAGAGGAGTCCTGGTGGAAAGCCTGACCTCGCACTCTCACCCAGCAGTAATGAGGAGCTCTTCTACCTCCTGAGGTGGCAAAAGCAGTCCACTGGGGATCTGTGCTTCCATCCCAACCCAGCAACATCAATGCAGCACCCTTCTTCCCCCTGCCAATTCAGTGTCAGAGGGGACTCTAAAATAGAAGATTCAAATAACATCCACCACCACCCAAAATGTTTTATGTGTATAGACTTTCAGTTTTGCAGGATAAAAAGGTTCTGGAGATCTGTCTCACAACAATGTGAACATATTTAACACTACTGAACTGTACACTTCAAAATGGTTAAAATTATAAGTTCTATGTTATGTGTTATCTACCACAATAAAAACTTTTTTAATGTACCAATACTAATCAAAAGTAAAAGACTGTTTATCACGCCATACAATTGCTCATTTCCTTAAGACATGTGGAATAGTAGTTATATATGATAAATAATTAAAATTATATTAACATAACAACCTATTTTACTGCTTTTGTGAAATACTATATTTGAAACTTAATCAATCCATGCCTGTGCTGAAGGTAAAACACACACACACACAAATTCTTCTAAAACTCTCAGCCTCTCTAACCACGGATTACCTGGTAAAATTATTCAAGTATTACTTTTTCTAATATAACAATAAGAACATTTAATGAGTGAAAATTTAATAGCAAAAACTAGACACATAGATTTGTTAGAAAAAAATACTGTCTCTGAGGCACAAATTTCTTAGCAGAATCTAAATCAGAATAATTAAAGACAAGAAGTGGTTTACCTCTATTTGGACTTCCAAAGATTAAGTTTACTATGCAAATCTGAGAGTTATTCATAATAGTTACTGACATTTTAAGTTTCATTATAAAAACCAAAATTTAATGTGTTTCATTTAAAGCAGAAGAAGCATGGTAAACAGTGTATTTAAGTGGTTCCATTCCACACTTCTAAGCAGTGTTACCTTCATCATGTTTTGCAAAACTCTGAATTGAAAGGTACACCTCTCTACCTCTTATAGAAAAAAAGACCTGTAATCCCAGCACTTTGGGAGGCCAAGGAGGGCGGATCACAAGTTCAGGAGATCGAGACCATCCTGGCTAACACGGTGAAACCCCGTCTCTACTAAAAATACAAAAACAAAAAATTAGCCAGGCGTGGTGGCGGGTACCTATAGTCCCAGCTACTCAGGAGGCTGAGGCAAGAGAACAGCGTGAACCCAGGAGGCGGAGCTTGCAGTGAGCTGAGATCACACCACTGCACTCCAGCCTGGGCGACAGAGCGAGCCTCCATCTCAAAAAAAAAAGAAAAAAAGAAAAAGAAAATGACTGGTTGAAATAATGCTGCATACTACTTTCCCCTCATGAGAATTCACAATCACAATACACATTAGCATATTAAAAACTGGGAAAAATTGTACAACTGAAAATATTTCTAAGTTTGAATCATTGCTTTCCAAATTTATATATAGCCAGGCCTACTTTATTTTTTACCTGTTAACACATCATCAAACACTAATATTCTCAAGCAAAGCTTCTCAAAGCATAAAGTTCAAACAAATCACCTAGAGATCTCACTAAAATGTAGATTCTGATTCAGAAGGTCTGCATGGGGCCTAAAAGTCTGCATTTCCAACAAGCTTCTAGGTGATGTCAATGCTGCTGGTCCAGGGATCACTCTTTAACAAGGGACTAGAGAAGACACTTTGAGAAAGGCTACTAGAGAGCCCTGTTTATCACTATACAGTTCTGTGATACGAATTTAGTACTTACAAACTCTACTGTATATATAATAAAGGCATATAAAGGACTAGAAGAGGATAGGTTAAAAACAGAATGGGGGCTCTATAATTTCAACTGGCAGAGTATTACAAGGAAAGGAATAAAAATAGGTCAGAGCAAGCAGAAAAATATAAAGGGACTCCTCCCCCTAAAAAAGGCAAAGGCCATGGGAGAAAGAGATGGAAGCTGGAGTTGGTGAGGCATAAGAAATGCCAGCATATAGGAAGGACTGAGACATTTTCAGTTTAACATTACTGAAATGGGACAAGTAGGCAGAAGCCATTTAAAGAATTTCTATTTTAATCACTAAAAGGCTCTTGGAACATGTTCAGATGAACATTCTGTGGTACAAAGGTTTGGCAAAGTTCAAAAAGGCCTCTTGGGATAAAAAATGAATTCTACAAACATGACATTACTTGTGGAACCACTAAAATGCAGAAGAAAACAATTTTTAATGTAGAGTAACAGGTAAAATCTAAGTCAAACCTTTTCTTGGATTAGTCTTTGAAGATGAATCCCACAGGACAACATGGCAGCGAATAAGGTCAACATGTACTGCTGAACTTTGCAGATGGCAGAGGCCAGGGAGTTTATTACTGAGTTCAGTCCCACCTTTTCAATAACATTCTGGAAGGCAGTAGGAGAATGGCGAGTGATTCTACACAAGGCCTACAAAGACAAGAGAACAGACCTGTCAGGCAACTCCAAGTGCATCAATCATTCCCCTGAAAGGTAACACATGCTTCTGTGTCAAGGAGTAGAAGGTGCTTACTTGGCTCTTTTATTACTTATTTTGGCACAAGAAAGTTGGCAATTTTCAACAAACTTAAAAATAAAACAATCTGCCTGCCAATAAAAGCTAAGGTTGTTTTAAAACACTAGAGACTATTGTAGTAATAACCATTAAATTGATAAATTCATAAGCCTATATAGAAAAATGTCCCTTTAATTAATAAAACACATTATCAAACACCTGCAGACAATGAACTAAGTGCTGAAAAACAGTTGTAAAAGTGAATATCTAACATTTATCATTTATAATGTGAGAAACACTATCTGTAAATATCTGAAGATTACCTCAATTAATTCTTCTAACAACTATGAGAAAGGTAGTATTATTATCCTCATTTTATAGATGATAAAACTAAAGCATACAGTAGTTAAGTAACTTGCCCAAAGGCATATAGCTAGTAAGTAGCAAAGCAGGAAATTAAACCGATATAATCAGACCCTAGACCGTTCCTAAATTGCTCTCAGACTATTAGACATGAAACTTAAAATCAGCTAATAGAATGTATTAAGTGTTGGAATAGAAGTGGGCTCAATTAATCGTGCTTGGAAAGGAAGAAAAAGTCAACAAAAGGTACATAAAGAAGATGACGCTGAGCCAGTTTTTGAAGGGTAGATGGGAAATAGGTGAAAAAGTGAGTTAAGAAAAGATTCAAACTTGAGAGAATAGAACAAGTATTCACATGGAGACATAAAGACGTAAGCTGTCTGATGCAATTAGAACATTTATCAGGTGTAGAAAAAGAAGTACACAGTAGGAAAGAAGAAAACCTTATGATCTATCTAGAAAAGCAAGCTGGAGCCAGAGTTGGTCAACAAAGCTAGGAACTTAAAATTTTATGCCATAAGGAAAGGGAAGGCCTTGAAAGTTTTTAAGGAAAGGAAAGACATGATGATATTCTGTGTGTACGAGTGACTCCAAAGAGAGAAATAAGCTTAAGCTATGAATAGTTTTATAAAAATACTCATTATAATATCATATAAGCTCCTTCTCCCTGATTTATATTTTAAACAGATTTATAACCTTAATAACAAAAAGATCAAATATAAAACAAACTGTTAGAAATAATGATGTTAAGAGGAGGGACAGGAGAGAGGGATATATAAAAAACATAAAAAGACTTTGAAAAATATTTCCATTTTCTTAAACATCTTAGAAAAAAATTAAAAACCTTTTTCTCTCCAAGAATAATCTTCCTTTAAATGTTATTCAGTAGAGACGGGGTTTCACCGTGTTAGCCAGGATGGTCTCGATCTCCTGACCTCGTGATCTGCCTGCCTTGGCCTCCCAAAGTGCTGGGATTACAGACATGAGCCACCGCATCTGGCCTATTTGTGTTACTTTTAGTAGAGACAGGGTTTCACCATGTTGGCCAGGTTGGTCTCGAACTCCTGACCTCAGATGATCTGCCCACCTCGGCTTCCCAAAGTGCTGGGATTACAGGTATGTGCCACTGCACCCAGCCTCAATCTTTATGAAAATGCTAAGATGACTTTATTATAGCCAGAAAGGAAAAGGTAAATATAACTCACATCAAGGAAAATCTAGGACTTTTTCCAGATGCTTCCTCTTGAGGGCAGGACTGAGAGATGGGAGGTAGGAATGGGGCCACGAAGAACCTTCGATCTTCCACGTTTATACCATTCAAATTTTTCCAGTAAATGCATATTATTTTATAGTAATATTTAAAGTTACACTCCAATGCCAATGACTATATTAGATACTTTTTTACTTGTATTGAAATAAACATTTATGGGAGATTTTTAAATTAATACTCTATACATTTACTGCCATTTCTGAAATAAACAAGTAAATATATGCACTGAAAAAATGAGCATTTGTAGAGCACCAACTATATACCTCTCCCTAAAAACAAGTCCCTTTCCTTGTGGAACTATCATATGAAACACCTATAAAATTCTACAAACACCTACAGAATTAATAATCACTGACTCCATTTCAAACATATACCAGGGATTTTTATTCATTTGGAGATATCCATATCAGAATGAAATCCCATCAAATAATTAAACTCTACTTTGGGCATTTTTCAAATAACTTTTCAGTGTGTCCTCTTTCAAAAAAGCTACAGATGGGTAAATCAGATACCATGGTTTAGGAAATATGAAACTAGGGTTCTTCAAATCTAAATTCCAAATTGCATGAGTTTTGGTAGAAAAGTATCAATAGTAGTAATATCTGAAAAGAGGAATATTAAAAATGAATTCACTTTATTTTTTTCTCTATGTCCATGTAACAACAGAAAAATGAATTCACTTCTAAAAATCTGGTTATGATTTTAAAATTTTGAGAGGTAGGGGTGTGTGTGTGTATAGAAAGTAATCTTTAAAAAATAAAAATTGTGAAAGTTTTAAAAATGAGTCTAAAATTGCTGTTTATGAAATCAAACAGTATTGTTTAATTATTTTCCTAATCCAAGTATTTTTTTTAAAAAAAAGATCATTTGAAGTGATGTCCTTAAAGATCAGAATTTTTCTAGCAAATTAGGATTCAATGACTTCAACACAGCACAACAGTAAGTCTCATTAGCACTATAACAATTCTTGGAGGACCTGGCACTGCAAAACCAACTTCCCATTGTTATAAAATCCCTATCCAGTTATGATGGGGAAATTTCTTAATAAAAGATTTTCCCAGACTACTTCTGGGCAACTGGAATGGATCTTCTTCAGAATGCTGTGCAAAAGCCTAACAGACTTTCCATTTTGAAAAGCTCAGGCAGAAAATACTCTTTAATTCACTTCTAAATATCAAACTCACTTGAAAGCTTCTGAGCAACTGAGAAGATGCACAGAGCCTTAACAGCACACTAGTACTTGTATTTTCTGAATCAAAAGAAAAGAAATCAAATCAAATCTGATCTTCAGTGATGTGGTTTTTAAACATTTACTTATTAAAATAGAGTATGGCCGGGCGCAGTGGCTCACGCCTGCAATCCCAGCACTCAGGGAGGCTGATGCAGGCGGATCACAAGGTCAGGAGTTTCAGGCCAGCCTGGCCAAGAAGGTAAAACCACATCTCTACTAAAAATACAAAAATTAGCCGCACCTGCTGGCGGGTGCCTGTAATCCCAGCTATGCAGGAAGCTGAGGCAGGAGAATTACTTGAAACCAGAAGGCGGAGGTTGCAATGAGCCAAGATCATGCCACTGCATTCCAGCCTGGGCAACAAGAGTGAAACTCCATCTCAAAAAAAAAACCAACAAAAAAAAAATAGAGTCTGAGATTATATTTTAAAACTGGAAAAAACTGTTCCAGTTCAAAATTCACTTCAAAATTTACTTCGAAAAGAACATTTAGTGTTACCTCCAGAATTTGAATTTTCTTACAGTCTGTTCAATAAAAGCAGTTTCCAAGAAACAGACTCACTCAAAATTGAAGGCTGCATATCTGTTAGAAACATATGAGCAGAATCACCAAGGAAGAAAAGGTTTAAGAACCATTTCTTTTTGGTATTTCAAATGATTTTTTGATGTCATATGAAATTACCCTGGGAGGTTTTTCAAACTACACACACTCTTATCTGACCCCTGAGAGATCTTAAGATATATCAGAATAGGGGCAGGGGGTGGACAGAGAAGAGGAAGTAGTTAATGTTGCTTGAAAAGCTCCCCTCCAACCCTAGTGAGAACCACTATCCTGCATACTTCTTCACTTTTTGACACCTTTTCATCTCAGCACTTCAGTAATTATGATTACTTCAGCTACCTCTCTCATAGGAGCCACTTTACTCAATCTAACTCTACAGGTTTCTCTGGTTCTCACTATGGTCCCTATAGAGATTTTCCCTATAATCCCAATAAGTCTAAGAATCACTTTTATCTATTCAACACATTCCCCAAGTCAGGTCCACTCCTTCCAACTACCAATACCTACCAATGCTGCCACTCCTGAGTGGAAAGGACAAGTTAGTTATATTTTACTCTAAGCCACACTGGTGTATTTTAAGAGCTGCAAGGACTAGGGCAGTGGTTCTTAAATATCAGCAGGCAACATCACCTGGAAGCATGTTAAAATAGAGATTACTGGCCTCTCCCCAGGGGGACTCTCGTGCAGTAAGTCTGGGTTTGGGCCCAAAAAACTACACTTCTATCAAGTTCCCAAGAAATGTTAATGTTGCTGGTGTGGAGAACACACTAGTGTAGAACAATCTATGGAGCCAAGAGATCATTAGGAGAAACAGGTCAGAAAATCACTGACAGGCAGGAAATACAGACAGTTACAAGTGGAACAACATGTAGAGCTTGCTCCCTCAGCACTAAGCCTTGCTATCCTCCACCTGCTCATTCATTCATCTGATTAGCAGATATCTACTGAGCATCTACCATGTGCCCAGAAAAGGAACAACAGGACTTTTGTCTTCCTGGAACTTACACTAATGAGAAAAAACTGTGCATAAGGCCGGACGCTGTGGCTCACGCCTGTAATCCTGGCACTTTGGGAGGCAGACGTGGGTGGATCACATGGTCAGGAGTTCAAGACCAGCCTGACCAACATGGTGAAACCCTATCTCTACTAAAAATAGAAAAATTGGCCGGGCATGGTGGACACCTGTAATCTCAACTACTTAGGAGGCTGAGGCAGGAGAATCGCTTGAACCCAGGAGGCAGAGGTTGCAGTGAGCTGAGATCACAATACTGCACTCCAGCCTGGGTGACAGAGCAAGACTCTGTCTCAAAAAAAAAAAAAAAAAAAAAAAAAACACAGAAAAAAAAACCACAAACCTGTGTATAAATACATTAAATAAATAAAGCTGCATTCATTAGAGGCGAGAGAGCAGAGTCAGGGAGGTCCTAATTGAGGAGGTAACACTTAAGCTGAGACCTGAAATAAGGAATTGGCCATGTAAAAAACCAGCAGAGAACATCCAGGCACAGGAAACAGCAAGGAGGAAAGGTCCTGAGGCAGAAAAATACTTGGAAATCCTAGGAAATGTCTGAAGGTAAGTTTGGAGACAGAGTGAAGGAGGGAAGGAGTGTTACAAGATGGAACCAAAGAGGTAGGCAAGGGCCAAATCATGCAAGATACTGAAGGTCATGTTAAGAATTCTGACCTGTATCATCAAATGTATCCATTAACCTACAAGACGTGCTCCTGAGAGGTAAATAGCGAAAAAGACCTTAAAAAGGAGATTCAGCTCTGTAAGCCATCCCAGAGAGGAGGCAATTGTCATTCCTTGCCAGGAATGTGTGTGAATTATCTTCCAAATGCATATACTCAGTTCCTATAACCTCAGTCTTTAATAAATCCTCATGTAAATCTATTAACCGTGCAGGTGCAATTTTTTTTGTTAAGATTATGATGTTAGAGTAACTGTATAATGATCTCATGCTGTTCCCCCACCTGCCTTTTGTTATTAGCAGGAATCTTATGGCCTATTCCTCTTTGTCTCCCAGTAAAGAGGGGAGTTTAATCTTACTAACCTCTGCCCTCTACTCACACGTAGGGCAGGATGCTCCCTCTTAATCTTTGCAAGAAAAATCTTAACTTGCAATCAACAGGCCTGGTATCAAACAGAGAGAGATAAACAAAACATAGTCCTAGATTTCAAGGAGTTTAAAATGTATGACATTATAATAAAATAAACATAACTAATTTACTAAGCAAAATGTGCTGCTTTAAACATTAATATTACCTTAAAGCGGTCATCAATTTTCAACTTCTACCTAGTACTATGAATAAAGTATTATTAACCCTTCCAAAAAAATTGAAAGCTTTGAAAAGTTTAAGCAGGTAAGAAGAAGAGATATGATTTTATGAAGTTCATTTTGTGTGGAGAATCAAGTTGGTGGAGCCTAAAACTGGACGTTGGAAGACCATTTAGCAAGCTACTCCAGTGGTCCAGGTGAGAGATGGCAGTGGCCTGGATTATGGAAGTAGCCATACAGCTGCAGAGAGATGTGAGCAGATCTGAGAGATGCTGATGAGTTAGAATCACAGGACAAGTTGACCAGCTGGTTGTAAACAATAAAGTGGAAGAACTTAAGGGAAAGGAAAGTATCAAAGAGGATGTCTAGCCCTTTGCTTTCCTTAATGCTCCTTCCTAACCTTCCCGCCCAGTATCCATATGTCAGTCTGAGAAAGGAGGTCAATGAGGGAAAAGAGTGTGCTGAGCTGAGGAGTGGCCAAGGAAGCAGAGTGGTAGCAGCAAGGGAGGTTGGGGTAATATGGAGGAGGCCTCCAGCGGGGAGTGAATGGGAGCTGGTTACACTAAGGGGAACAAATGAACTGAATGAACAAATCAGTAAGTATATTGAGAATAATGAGAACCCAGTCTCTCTCTGTCTGAGAAGAGTTCTACAAACACAGAAAGAGGGAAGACTAGACCAGGCGTGGTGGCTCACGCCTGTAATCCCAGCACTTTGGGAGGCCAAGGCAGACAGATCACAAGGTCAGGAGTTTGAGACCCGCCTGGCCAACATGATGAAACATCCTCTCTACTAAAAACTACAAAAAAATTAACCGGATGTGGTGGCATGCACCTGTAATCCCAGCTATTCGGGAAGCTGAGTCAGGAGAATCACTTGAACCCAGGAGGCAGAGGTTGCAGTGGCCTGAGATTGCATGATTGTACTCCAGCCTGGGCAACAGAGCAACACTCTGTCTTGAGGAAAACAAAAAGAAAGAAAGAGGGAAGACTAGAAAGAATTCTGAGGTATTAAAATTAAAATATAAATTCATGAGGTTTTTTCAAAATGTGTACATTGACAGACATTTTTAAAATATAAATGTCTATGCATGGGTACATATATTTTATCTAGCTTTGAATAGTGAGAAGCAACAATGACACCACCCAGGGAATGAACACAAAGAGCACCCAGATCTTCATTTCTAAAAACTTAGGATTTCTTGGAGAAATGATTGATTCCAAGGCTGGCACAGGAAAAGCACAAAAGGAGCCCAGAACGGTACGTGGTATCAGGAGTTAAGGAAGTGCTCAGTGATAGAAATAAGTCCAAGGACACAGAAGTCATCTTGAAGGGATCCCACTCGCCAAATCTGGGATGATTAGAGCACCCAAACAATAAGCAGTAGCAGTAATAGTATCACATTACAACCCACTGAATAAAATCTATATCCACAAGTCCATGCTGATATGAATACGTACATGCATGCTGAAGAAAGGAAAGTGCTTCCTCAAAATAGAATTCCAACTTATATATACAAGGCCATCAAAATAATTTGCATAGCTCATGATCAATGCAAAAAAAAAAGGTGTTTACATTTTTAAAGGGTTACGAAAAGCAAAACAAACCAAAAGAATATGCAACAGAGACTGTATATGAGCTACAAAACCCAAAATATTTATTATCTGATCCTTTATAGAAAATATTTGCCAACCTCCGATGTAAAAAGAATGATGCAAATGGATAATCATCACATGACAACCACCCCAGAGGTATCTGGTACAGTTAAGAGTCATCAATGGATGCTATGGAGGTTTAATGAGGAAACACAGACAGACCCAGGTTAAGCTTCACCCCACAAAACAAAAGCTCTGCACTCTAAAAATTGTAAATGACGTGAAAAATACAAAAACTGAAGAACTGTGTCAGACTGGAGGAGACTAAAGAGCTATGAAAACAAAATACAGGCGGGGCACAGTGGCTCACGACTGTAATCCCAGCACTTTGGGAGGCTGAGGTGGGTGGATCACCTGAGGTCAGGAGTTCAAGACCAGCCTGGCCAACATGGTGAAACCACATCTCTACTAAAAAATACAAAAATCAGCTGGGTGTGGCAGCAGATGCCTGTAATCCCAGCTACTCAGGAGGCTGAGGCACAAGAATCGCCTGAAACTGGGAGGAAGAGGTTGCAGTGAGCCAAGATCACACCGTTGCACTCCAGCCTGGGTGACAAGAGCACAACTCTATCTCAAAAAGAAAAAGAAAATGAAAGGAAAGAAAAGAAAACAAAAGAAAACAAAACAAAAGAAAAGAAAAGAGAAAAGAAAAGAAAAAAGAAAGAAAGAGAAAAGAAAATACAACCCATGCTCCTGAACAGGATCTTTGCACAGAAAAGAAAAAGGAGACACTGTTGGGACAACTGGCAAAATTTCAATGTAAAATTAATGATTCAGATAAATGCTAAGAGCAAGTAATAAGAAGCCCAAGATAGAGTCAAACTTGATGCATCAGAAGAAAAAGGGGAGGACTAGAAGTTATGAGACTTTGGTGGGAACTATTGAAAAAAAACTTTGCCAAAAAAAGAAACCATGCTGAGTATAAGGATGAAAATCTGTATAATGTTATCTTTATAAAGTAAGCCCAATTAAAACAAGACAGATTTTTCTAAAGGCTCAGGATTAAAATGAATGTCTTAAAATATTATTCAAAGGTGCCTCAAGAAAGTTCACTGGTATACTTTGTAACTGTTTCTGATTGTTTACCTGTAATTATTAATACCATAATTAGTTGTGGGTTTTTGTAATTTTGAAAACATGTGGCTCCTGAAACAGACGTGTGTATAATCAATGTTATATATCCTTTCTTAATGATAATCAGGGGCAGGATTTATATCCATTGATCTTCAAGATTATATAGGTAACATAACTGAAAAATTTCCATAAATACCCACAGGATTTAGCAACATGAAAGTTATTAGTAACCTAAGCAAGATTAGCTTCAGTGGCATTTTTTGGACAGTACCAGATTGGGCTAAAAGGGAAAAGTGGGCCGGAAAAGAGCAACAGTTATGTGGCAATAACTCTTTAAAGAGGTATGGCTAGGAATGGGGGGATATGCAGCCAAGATTGTGCGTGTTGTTGAGGGGGCAGGGGTGGTAAATTAAACACCTAAATGCTGACTAGCAGGATCTAGTAGAGAAGGAAACATTTGAGAGTCAGGAAAGGGCAAAAATAACCATTTGAATTAGGTTCCCAAGAAGGGACCAGGAAGAAGATTTGGAGAAACATGAAGAGGTTTGTCTCTGAAAAGAGAAGGAACAGCTTGTCAATGGTACCAGGAAGGAAAGAATTGAGAGAGGACAGATGTGCAGGTAAATAGGTCTACTTATATGGCAGAAAGCAGTTGGGATAGTTCTCATTAGATGTCTTCACTTTTCCCTGGGCAGCAAAGGGAAAGTCATGAGTGAGGATACGTGATGAAAATGAGGGGTTGAGGGCATAAGGAAAGAACACAAAGTAAGAAACTGCCACAGAGAGAAGTGCAAGAGGTAGCTGAACTAGAGAAATACAACAAGGATGCCACATAGCGTTTGAGAGCCCAGATGAGATTGCTAACTCAAAGGGGTATTTAAATAAATCATAGGAGAGAGGGTTATATTTGTTCAATAGAGTATTAAATTGATACAAGCATGTTAACACATCTTTATACATAATTATCCTTTACACCACGTTATTATAGCCATGTGAGTAAAGTAGTAGGCAACCCATCAAAACACAAAAACACCAAAATCACAGATGCTTGAACATTAAAATGAATTCATCTGAACCACATGATAAACTCATTTGACACAAAATCTGAATGGGGATGCTAACAGGGAAAAGTCAGGGAACACTAAAAATATAACAAACCAAACCCTGTACCCTATATACTGCCACAGTTTTCTACTATCGCCTCTAAATTGTTTTTAAGGCTGGGCGCGGTGGCTCATCCACGTAATTCCAGCACTTTGGGAGGCCAGGGCAGGCAGATTGCTTGAGGCCAGGAGTTCAAGACCAGCCTGGGCAACATGACAAGACCCCATCTCTACAAAAATACAAAAAAATAAGCCAGGCCTGGTGGTGCATGCCTGTAGTCCCAGCTACTTGGGAGGCTGACGCAGTAGAATTACTTGAACCTGGGAAGTAAAGATTGCAGTAAGCCAAGATCACACCACTGCACTCCAGCCTGGATGACAGAGGGACACTCTGTCTCAAAATAAATAAACTTATTAATTAGTTTTTGAAACCATAATACCATAGTCCTAACAAGGTTTTATTGAAATTCTCTCACAGTCTCAAGGTTTTCCAGTTCCAAGTTTTCAAAATTCTCTTTTAGAAGAAAATCAAATTATTTCTCTCAATATTACTCTGAGATTTCAGTTTCCTATCTATTAAATTAAATTTATTCTTATTCTAATATTTTCTTCAAACTTGCTGTTTAAAGATACCCAGACATATCCCCCAAAAGATGCTTCATCTTACCGATACTGCTGTTATCCTAAGAGAATCAGCAGTGGAGTGTCTGAATAGGTACCACAAAATGGGTCCTATTTCTCCTGTAATAAAGCCCTGGGACTGAGCAGAAAAGGTGGTACAGACATTTTCAATAATTTTTGCTGCCATGTGATTCACAACACGCTCTTCCTATAGAGAAAGGAGATTAAAATAATATTAGTGTGAGAAATAAATACATGTTATTTCTTTATGACCATTGTAAATAATGTTATGATACCAAGACAGTAACATGCCTCTGGATGTGTTAGGCAACTTGGGAGGAATGATAACTCTTTCAGGTCATTATGAAACTATTACAAATAATCATTTGGTTATTCACTAGCAAGCTATCATAACATAACTCTCCATATATTTTAATAAAACAAAGAATTAGGAATATTTCACATGAAGGTTGCAGTGAGCTGTGATCACACCACTACACACTACTGCTGAAACAATCTGGAAAATAAACAAAATAACTATAACATAAAAACTGGAAGATAATTTTAAAATCATACGGAGCAGGCAGAATAATCCTCAGAAGTCATTCAGTCCTAGGAATAATCTGAGCACCGATCAATCAGAGTGGAAAGATTGTCTAAATAAGGGACATCAAGGAGAGTCCTAAGAAAGGTATTGCTTCAGTGGTGTGACGAAATTAATCCTAGAGGAAAAGCCATTCTGGATGGTCCTAGCGGTGCTAAAAAGTTAGCCTCAAAAAGATTCAACTGTTTTCAGGTAATATAAATGAGTCCAAGGAAAAGCCCAGAAGTACTTACAGAAATTTTAAAAAGTTCCGCATCCAATGATATAAAATTCGCAGTGAGTAACATCTAATTGAACACTGCCAAGCAAGCAAAGAAGCCAAAAAATATGATTCATAATTCAATCGCTAGAAATGACTGATAGACTTAGTAGAAAGATATTAAATGGCTATAATAAATGTAGTCCACATACTCAAGAAGGAAGAGGAAAGCAAAAACATAAGGAGAGAAACAAAAGATATAAAAATGACCCAAATCAAAATTCTAGAGATAAATAATGCAATGTCTTATAATAAAAATACACTGAATGGGATTAACAGATTAGACACTACAGACTAAATGATTAGTGAACATGAAGACATAGCTACTAACAATAAAAATCTATCCAAAATAAACACAGAAAGAAATAAGACTTGAAAAAGAAAAAAGAAACAGAGCATCAGTGAACTGTAGGACGCCTTCAAAAGACCTAATAAATGTGTAGTTGGAAAAATGCTTGAAATATTGTCTGAGAAGTTTTCAAATTCATGAAAACTGGTAATTCCAGGTCTCAGAAGCTCAATGAGCCCTACGCAGAAGAAACAAAGAAAAATGACACCAAGGTACATCATAATCAGACTGCTTTAAAAAAAAAAAAAGGAATAAAGAGAAAACCTTATGGACAAGGAGCAATGTCCCATTCCTGTAATCCCAGTGCTTTGGGAGGCCAAGATGGGAGAATCAGTTGAGGCCAGGAGTTCAAGACCAGCATGGGCAACATAGCAAGACCTTTTCTGTACAAAAAGTTTTAAAAATTGGCCAGGTAAGGTAGTACATGCCTATACTCCCAGCCACCTGGGAGGCTGAGGTGGGAGGATCACTTGAGCATAGGAGTTGGAGGTTGCAGTGAGCTGTGATCACACCACTGCACTCCAGCCTGAGCAACAAAGCAAGACCCTGTCTCAAAAATAAAAATAAAATAAAATAAAAAGAAAAGAAAACTTTACAAGCAACTAGAGTAAAAAGGCATATTCCACAGAGAGGAACAATGATAAGGCTGACAGATAATTCTCATCAGAAACAATACATACAAAAGACAATAAAGCAATATATTTTAAGTACCAAAAGAAAAAAAAAGTAACTGTCAACCTACAAATTTATGCACAAAAATAACATCTTTCAAAAACAAAGATAAAATAAGTACCATTCTGAAATGCAAAAGTTGAGAAAATTCATCACCAGCAGAACTGCACTACAAAAATATTAAAGGAAATTATTCATGCAGAAAAAAATGATAATGAGAAGAAAATTAAATCTATACAAAAGAACAAAGAATAAAAAAGTAAATATGTGAATAAATATAATAGATTGTTTTCCTTAATTTTTGAGCCTATTTTAAACATAAGCTGCAGCTGCTGTTTTTCTTTTTGAGACACAGTCTCACTCTGTCACCCAGACTGAAGTACAATGGCAGGATCACAGCTCACTGCAGTCTCAATCTCCCAGCTCAAGCAATCTTCTCACTTCAGCCTCCCAAGCAGCTGGGACAAGAGGCATGTGCCACCATGCCCAGCCAATTTTTTTTATTTTTTAACAGAGATGAGGTCTCACTCTGTTGCCCAGGCTGAACTCGAACTCCTTGTCCCAAGGAATCCTCCTGCCTTGGCCTCCCAGAGTGCTGCGATTACAAGCATGAGCTACTATGCCAAGCCAAGCATACCTGTTTAAACCAGAAATGACAAAAATGTATTGTGAGCTTTATAACATATGTAGACATAAAATGTATGACAATAGTAGGAAGGCTAGAAGGAGAATACTAGATTATTCTGGTGTAAGGTTCTTAGGAATTTGCATATCACTATATACATCATAAAAATAAGGTTCTGATACAAAGTTCTAACATACATGAGGTTCATATGTAAGCATTTGTATATCATTACTTGCAGGTCAACTGTGATAAATTCGAGTTACACACTGTTAAATAAAAAAAGATGTATAGGCTGGGCGCAGTGGCTCACGCCTGTAATCCCAGCACTTTGGGAGGCCGAAGCAGGCAGATCACAAGGTCAGGAGTTCAAGACCAGCCTGTCCAATATGGTGAAACCCCATCTCTACCAAAAACACAAAAATTAGCTGGGCATGGTGGCACGTGCTTATAATCCTAGCTACTCAGGAGACTGAGGCAGGAGAATTGCTTGAACCAGGACCCAGGAGGCAGAGGTTGCAGTGAGCCAAGATCGCACCACTGCACTCCAGCCTGGGCTTACAGAGCAAGACTCCATCTCAAAAAAAAAAAGATTTGTAATAATAAGTCCATAAAGGTGATATAAAGGCAGGAAGGACATTGGATAACACTATTAACTCACTTGGACATTTATACAACACTCCACTCAACAAAGGTAAAAGACACATTCTTTTCAAGATCACATGAAACATTACCAAGTTAGACCATGTTCAGGGCCGTAAAAAATATCTTAGCAACTCCATACTCATAGATTAATTTGAGATGAATCACAAACCTAAATGTAAAAGTTAGATCCATAAAGCTTCTAGAAGAGGTCATAAAGAACACGTTGCAGTAGGCAAAGCTTTCTTTTTTATTATTATTATTATTATACTTTAAGTTTTAGGGTACATGTGCACAATGTGCAGGTTAGTTACATATGTATACATGTGCCATGCTGGTGTGCTGCACCCATTAACTCGTCATTTAACATTAGGTATATCTGCTAATGCTATCCCTCCCCACTCCCCCTACCCCACAACAGTCCCCAGAGAGTGATGTTCCCCTTCCTGTGTCCATGTGTTCTCATTGTTCAATTCCCACCTATGAGTGAGAACATGCGGTGTTTGGTTTTTTGTCCTTGCAATAGTTTACTGAGAATGATGATTTCCAATTTCATCCATGTCCCTACAAAGGACATGAACTCATCATTTTTTATGGCTGCATAGTATTCCATGCTGTATATGTGCCACATTTTCTTAATCCAGTCTATCATTGTTGGACATTTGGATTGGTTCCAAGTCTTTGCTGTTGTGAATAGTGCCACAATAAACATATGTGTGCATGTGTCTTTATAGCAGCATGATTTATAGTCCTTTGGGTATATACCCAGTAATGGGATGGCTGGGTCAAATGGTATTTCTAGTTCTAGATCGCTCAGGAATTGCCACACTGACTTCCACAATGGTTGAACTAGTTTACAGTCCCACCAACACTGTAAAAGTGTTCCTATTTCTCCACATCCTCTCCAGCACCTGTTGTTTCCTGACTTTTTAATGATTGCCATTCTAACTGGTGTGAGATGGTATCTCATTGTGGTTTTGATTTGCATTTCTCTGATGGCCAGTGATGGTGAGCATTTTTTCATGTGTTTTTTGCCTGCATAAATGTCTTCTTTTGAGAAGTGTCTGTTCATGTCCTTCGCCCACTTTGTGATGGGGTTGTTTTTTTCTTGTAAATTTGTTTGAGTTCATTGTAGATTCTGGATATTAGCCCTTTGTCGGATGAGTAGGTTGCAAAAATTTTCTCCCATTTTGTAGGTTGCCTGTTCACTCTGATGGTAGTTTCTTTTGCTGTGCAGAAGCTCTTTAGTTTAATTAGATCCCATTTGTCAATTTTGTCTTTTGTTGCCATTGCTTTTGGTGTTTTAGACATGAAGTCCTTGCCCATGCCTATGTCCTGAATGGTATTGCCTAGGTTGTCTTCTAGGCTTTTTATGGTTTTAGGTCTAACATTTAAGTCTTTAATCCATCTTGAATTAATTTTTGTGTAAGGTGTAAGGAAGGGATCCAGTTTCAGCTTTCTACATATGGCTAGCCAGTTTTCCCAGCATCATTTATTAAATAGGGAATGCTTTCCCCATTGCTTGTTTTTGTCAGGTTTGTCAAAGATCAGATCGTTGTAGATATGTGGCATTATTTCTGAGGGCTCTGTTCTATTCCATTGGTCTATATCTCTGTTTTGGTACCAGTACCATGCTGTTTTGGTTACTGTAGCCTTGTAGTATAGTTTGAAGTCAGGTAGCGTGATGCCTCCAGCTTTGTTCTTTTGGCTTAGGACTGACTTGGCGATGCGGGCTCTTTTTTGGTTCCATATGAAATTTAAAGTAGTTTTTTCAAATTCTGTGAAGAAAGTCATTGGTAGCTTGATGGGTATGGCGTTGAATCTATAAATTATCTTGGGCAGTATGGCCATTTTCACGATACTGATTCTTCCTACCCATGAGCATGGAATGTTCTTCCATTTGTTTGTATCCTCTTTAATTTCATTGAGCATTGGTTTCTAGTTCTCCTTGAAGAGGTCCTTCACGTCCCTTGTAAGTTGGATTCCTAGGTATTTTATTCTCTTTGAAGCAATTGTGAATGGGAGTTCACTCATGATTTGGCTCTCTGTTTGTCTGTTATTGGTGTATAAGAATGCTTGTGATTTTTGTACATTGATTTTGTATCCTGAGACTTTGCTGAATTTGCTTATCAGCTTAAGGAGATTTTGGGCTGAGACAATGGGGTTTTCTAAATATACAATCATGTTGTTTGCAAACAGGGACAATTTGACTTCCTCTTTTCCTAATTGAATATCTTTTATTTCCTTCTCCTGCCTGATTGCCCTGGCCAGAACTTCCAACACTATGTTGAATAGGAGTGGTGAGAGAGGGCATCCCTGTCTTGTGCCAGTTTTCAAAGGGAATGCTTCCAGTTTTTGCCCATTCAGTATGATACTGGCTGTGGGTTTGTCATAGATAGCTCTTATTATTTTGAGATACGTCCCATCAATACCTAATTTATTGAGAGTTTTTAGCATGAAGGGCTGTTGAATTTTGTCAAAGGCCTTTTCTGCATCTATTGAGATAATCATGTGGTTTTTGTCTTTGGTTCTGTTTATATGCTGGATTACATTTATTGATTTGCGTATATTGAACCAGCCTTGCATCCCAGGGATGAAGCCCACTTGATCATGGTGGATAAGCTTTTGGATGTGCTGCTGGATTTGGTTTGCCAGTATTTTATTGAGGATTTTTGCATCAATGTTCATCAAGGATATTGGTCTAAAATTCTCTTTTTTGGTTGTGTCTCTGCCAGGCTTTGGTATCAGGATGATGCTGGCCTCATAAAATGAGTTAGGGAGGATTCCCTCTTTTTCTATTGATTGGAATAGTTTCAGAAGGAATGGTACCAGTTCCTCCTTGTACCTCTGGTAGAATTCGGCTGTGAATCCATCTGGTCCTGGACTCTTTTTCGTTGGTAAGCTATTGATTATTGCCACAATTTCAGAGCCTGTTATTGGTCTATTCAGAGATTCAACTTCTTCCTGGTTTAGTCTTGGGAGGGTGTATGTGTCGAGGAATTTATCCATTGCTTCTAGATTTTCTAGTTTATTTGCGTAGAGGTGTTTGTAGTATTCTCTGATGGTAGTTTGTATTTCTGTGGGATCGGTGGTGATATCCCCTTTATCACTTTTTATTGAGTCTATTTGATTCTTCTCTCTTTTCTTCTTTATTAGTCTTGCTAGTGGTCTATCAGTTTTGTTGATCCTTTCAAAAAACCAGCTCCTGGATTCATTAATTTTTTCAAGGGTTTTTTGTGTCTGTATTTCCTTCAGTTCTGCTCTGATTTTAGTTATTTCTTGCCTTCTGCTAGCTTTTGAATGCGTTTGCTCTTGCTTTTCTAGTTCTTTTAATTGTGATGTTAGGGTGTCAATTTTGGATCTTTCCTGCTTTCTCTTGTGGGCATTTAGTGCTATAAATTTCCCTCTACACACTGCTTTGAACATGTCCCAGAGATTCTGGTATGTTGTGTCTTTGTTCTCGTTGGTTTCAAAGAACATCTTTATTTTAGGCAAAGCTTTCTTAACCAGGACAAAAAGGAACTAAACATAAGAGAAAAAGCATTAAATCAAGCTTCATAAAAATTTTAAATTTCTGCTCATAATGACACCATTAAGCCTCATAGTATCTCAGGCCAGGAAAAAATATTTACATCCAGGCACAGTGGCTCATGCCTGCAATTCCAGCACCTTGTGAGGCCATGGCAGGTGGATTGCTTGAGCTCATGAGTTTGAGACCAGCCTGGGATACGTGGCAAAACCTCTTGTCTCTACCAAGCATGGTACACGCCTATAGTCCCTGCTACTTGGGAAGCTGAGGTAGGAGGATGGCTTGATCCCAGGAGGCAGAGGTTGCAGTGAGCCGAGATTGTGCCACTACACTCCAGCCTGGGCAATACAGCCAGATCTTGTCTCAAAAAAATAAAAAAATTTACAACACACATACATTAAATATCTGAACATTTTATATATATGATACCTTAATTAAAATAAAAAATACATTAAAGATTACATAATCCTACATTTATTTAACAAGAAAAATATATATGTAAAGGAAGGGCAAAGAAAGATATATAATACTCTGTTAATGATGATTATAATAGGTCTTGGATTGTAGGGAGGAGGAGCCCACTAATTCAACTTTAGAAATTTTTACATTGCTTGGTTTGTTACAATATGCATTTACTGTTTTTTCAATCCAAATTTATGTATTTTTCATATAAAAACGTTTACAAATGCGCAGAAGATATTGAGTAATGTCTAAGTTCAAGCCATAGTTTTTGCATTTTGCTAGTTATATATCCTTCACTATTTTTATCTCTTTGCCCCAGCTTCATTATCTACAAAATGAAGATTAACAAAACACAAGCGGTTTGAGAATTAAATGAGATAGCACACAGGAAGACTCAATCTAGAGCATGAAAAGTAGTAAATTCTCAATAAATGTTAGCTTTTATTCCCATTATTATTAATACCATATAGTACAAACTACAAGACTGCTAGGAAAGAAATCTTAAATATCCTTCAATTTCCCAAACTTCAACACATTTTTCATTTCTCAGAATGGCTATCTGAGAGAACTCTTCCTTCCCATTCCCATTTCCTTCAATGCAGCCAGAATAAATTAACCTAACACTTCTAGCCTCTCTCTGTTCCTTTATTCACTCTACTTGGTGAAATAAAATGTGACATCCATTTGACAAATTTGAAAAGAAAAAACTGGATATTCCTAAGTGCTCAGCTCAACTCTTCCCCATCCGCCCTTGGGGACAGGCCCACCCACACAGAGTTGTCGTCGCGTATCTCCTAGTTGTAAGCCTTAACTGGACAGGTACCCTACTTGGAGACCGCTGCTGTGTCTGGGGAATGCTAAGCTTCCTTAATGTGGGGTTCAATATGACGAAACCTATTTGCCCACAGAGATAAGC
The DNA here is from genome assembly GCF_000001405.40 of Homo sapiens. Lineage (NCBI taxonomy): Eukaryota > Metazoa > Chordata > Mammalia > Primates > Hominidae > Homo > Homo sapiens. The sequence goes on from NC_000003.12 coordinate 41,808,141, forward strand.
TGTATCCTCTATCCTAGTTCTTACTACAAAAAATATTAATATTTTGCCCCATATGCCTTGCTCTTTGTCTTATTTCTTATGAAGTTCTAAAATCTTTTTCCTGACTGTAGGGGGGAAATGAGCTATTTATAGAAGCCTTCTCAAATACATGTGCTTTACAACACAATTGTCAGTCAGTTCCTAGGACTCATTCCTAGTACTAGAAAACCACAACTATTTTAGCAGCTGGGTTGGAAAGGGGCCATGTGTCATCCCAGTGCTCTGTAAACTCAGTGAGGTTGTCAGGCCAATTCAACCTGCTCCTACCTGAAATAAGTGACTCTAGTCCATCTTCAATCCCCTGTGGGATACCATACAAGCAAATAAGAGTAGCGGTATTTTCTGCTTAACTCACTCTTTGGGAAAGATAACTGAGCTAATGCCTATTGCTTAAATCAAAGACCTATTTCTTCACAGCACTAAAATAAAAGCTAAGATTATTTTTTAAATAGCTAGGCTTATTAATGAAGAGCTGTGCTATGTTTTAATGGTGTTAAATAGATTTAATATATTGTAGGCAGCCTTAACAAAAAAGTTTTCTGCCAATATAATTTTGGTCTACTTAGGCAGGCCGTTAGCCTTGCCTCTCATTTTTTTTGTTTACCTTGCTGGACAAATGCCGTCAGGGCAAACACCAGTTTAAGTCTCCTGGGCACCTCTCAGGGTTCTTGTCTACACAGTCGCTGACTTAAGAACTTGGTGCTGCCAGCCGGGTGAGGTGGCTCACACCTGTAAACCCAGCATTTTGGGAGGCTGAGGCGGGCGGATCACGAGGTCAGAAGTTTGAGACAGCCTGACCAACATGGTGAAACCCCGTCTCTACAAAAAATACAAAAATTAGCCAGGCGTGGTGGTGCATGCCTGTAATCTCAGCTACTCAGGATGCTGAGGCAGGAACATAGCTTGAACCCAGGAGGCTGAGGTTGCAGTGAGCCGTGATCACCCCACTGCACTCCAGCCTGTGCAACAGAGCAAGACTCCGTCTCAAAAAAAAAACAAAAAAAAAAACAAAAAAAAACAAAAAAGAATTTGGTGCTACTTTATAGATGTTTGTAAGGTTTATTTTTTTATTTTATATCCAGTATTTATAGTTGCTTTCAGAGGATAGGGTTGTCCAGGTATCTTGTCCACTATACTGCAAGAAATGAAAATCCTATGTTCTTGGTTCAATGAATTACTAAAACAATAAAATATGTTAAAAAAAAAATCCAGGTACCTTGAAGCGCTTAGAGGAAAGATCAATCCACAAATGTGAAACAACAAATGTCAGTATTTCAGATGTTAATTTTGGTGCTCTTTATTGAAAAAGTAGGCGTGTAGACTAAGATTATATTTGTGTGTGGTGCTATGTTTAGTTCTATTTTTGATTTTAAAAGTAAATATAGATAATCAGTTTCCGCATATCACTGATTCAAAGTGTGTCTCCTCTCCCCTGCTCTGCAGTGTCACCTCTGTCATATGAATTGACATGTCTCTTTGTAGGTTCTATTTGTTTCTGTTGGCCTACTTATCTCTGTGCCACACTATCTAAATTAATAACCTTTACTTTTAATATATATTTTCAATATATGCAGTGTTTTGCCCTACCAATATAATCTTTTTTCAATAATTTATTTTTGCCCTTTTTCATTTGCATGTAATTTCTAAAATCGACTTAAGTTTATCTATTGGGATGTTGACTGAGAGTACATCTATAAATGTGAGGAACATTAAATGATATTAGTATACAATAGAAAACATACTCAATGAAAACATTAACAGTAAAAGACAAACACATTTAATTTTAAAAACACTGGAATAAGATGACAGCTAATTGAAGTTCCTTTGAATTCTTGATCACATTCAGCTAATGTGTTTATTACTTAACTTAGCTCTCCACTATAGGTCTAATTCTTTATAGTTAACATTTATGAAACTATATTTATATATCATATGCTGGCCAGGTATAGGAAAGACACTGCCCTGTCTTCATTTATTGGGAAAGAGAAATGGCTTTTCATCCCTAGTTCTGTACTCCAGCTTTTTATTGTTTTGTAATTTCATTTGTTTTATTTCTTTCATGTGTCATTATTAAATCATTTAAGGCTATGAACTTTCCTTTCAATCCAGTGTTAGTGAAAGCCCATTAGTTTTGACATGCAGTGTTTCCATTATTGTTACTATATAGACAGTCCCAAGTCTCATTTTAAAGTTTTCCCTCATCTAGGGTTCTTTATGAGATGGTTTAAAACTTTCCAGGTGGGTGGGATTTTATTGCCTTTACTCCTCTTTGTTGAAATAAAGTTGTGTTACCTAATAGTCAAGAATGTGGTCTGTTCTATTTCTCTGTCTCTTTCTTTAATGTTGTGGCAATGGCCAGAAGTGGTGGCTCACACCTGTAATCCCAGCACTTTGGGAGACCAAAGCAGGAGGATCGCTTGAGCTTAGGAGTTCAAGACAAGCCCGGGCAACTTAATGAGACCCTATCTCTATTTTAAAAAATTTAAGACAAAAATAAAGTTGTGGTTATATGTAAGATAAATAGATATAAAATTGACCATTCTAACTCAACAGTGTATAGTTTTGTGGCAGCAGTCCATTCAAACTGTTGGGCTAGTTCTCATTTTTACATCTATTGAAATGTTAATTGGCTTATTTCCTTTTTTTCCCTCTCACATTCAAAAGTTAGTAATGTACCTTACTGAGCATGGGCCATTATTTTATTTCATTTTATTTTATGTATTTGAGACAGGGTCTTGCTCTGTTGCCCAGGCTGAAGGGCAATAGTGTGCATAGCTCACTGCAGCCTCAAACTCCTGGGCTCAACCAATCCTTCTGCCTCAACTTCCAGAGTAGCTGGGACTACAGGCATGCACCACTACACTGGGCTAATTTTAAATTTTTTTTTTGTAGTGATGGAGTCTCGCTATGTTGCCCAGGCTGGTCTCGAACTCTTGGCCTCAAGTGATCCTCCCACCTAGCCCTCCCATAGTGCTGGGATTACAGGTATAAGCCACTGCACCTGGCCTTTATTTATTTTTTAAGTTTTATTATTAGAGATGGAGTCTCACCCTGTTACCCAGGCTGGAATGCAGTAGCACACTCATAGCTCACTACAGCCTCAAACTCCTGGGCTCAAACGATCCTACTAAGTAGGTAGGACTATAGGTGTACACCCAGCTAATATTTTTAATTTTTTAGAGACGGGGTTTCATTCAAGGATCACTTGAACCCAGCGATCCTCCTGCCTTAGCTTCTGAAATTGCTGGGATTACAGGTGTGATTGAGCCATGGCACCTGGCCAAACATGGGCTATTGGTTCTGGTTGTTACTCTTTTCCTTTTCCTTCTAATCCTTGTATTGGAAAGAAAACAGTATGGAAATTTTATTTCTTCATTTTATTGATACGTAGATCTCTGCTTAGAAGGCAATTTTAGTTTTAAATTATAAATTTTTTGTTCATTATTCACGGAATACTAGGTTTGCCATGGGGTATTAATAAATGTTGCACGAATGAAGGGTTTTCTAGTCAAATAGGTTAGAACACATTGGGTTAAACAAACTTGGACAGTTTTGTTTCTGGTAATTTCTAGAGTTCTAAATTATGATTCTACTCAAGAGGATATTGTATGCAGCATTTTCAAAGCTACCTCATCCTGCGTCATGTTGTGGTTACGCTTTGGGAGAGGAAGCTATAATCTTATACTGAGACTGTAATGAATGTATTAAAGTAATTTTCAGTAGCTTTCTATTTTAGAGTTACCTGAGAAATTATGACACTCTTTTCCAAACAGGCCAACCTGCTTTATGAACATGATTTCCATAATTTTAACAATGGGGAGGCCAGGCACAGTGGCTCATACCTGTAATTCCTTCCAGCGCTTTGGGAAGCCAGGGCAGGAGGATCACTTAAGCCAGTAGTTCAATACAAGCCTGGGCAAAATGGTAAAACCCCATCTCTACAAAAAAATACAAATATTAGCCAGGCGTGGTGGCACACACCTGTAGTCTCAGCTACTCAGAGGCTGAGGTGGGAAAATTACTTCAGCCCAGGAGGTCGAGGCTGCAGTGAACAGTGATCACACCACTGCATTCCAGCCCAGGTGAGAGAGCAAGACCCTGTCTCAAAAACAAACAAAACAAAACAAAACAAAACACAAACCAAGGGTGAGAGACATGTTAGATCTTTTTGTCCTCGTTACAGATGTAAATGATCAGATGGAAAGAGGGAAGTATTTAGAGTGAAAAACTTTTGGTGGAACACACACAAAAATAGGAAGATCAGGTATAACTGTTCAAAAAAAAAGAGTACAGCAGTATAGAAGAAAAGGTATCCATGATAATATGGAATAACGATTTCAGAGCTGGTGCTGGGATTTCAGAGATCTTGAGCTGGGAATCAAAAGATGGGAATTTCAGTCTCAGATGTGCCACTCCTTAGAGGTTTAATATTGACTAATCCCCGGGGGCTCCACTTGGTGGTGTTCGCTATTTAAAAAAACAAAAACATGTGCCAATGATCTTCCATGTGTTTCTGACTTGAGCCTCACCCCTGAGTCTGAAGACTTACCCTTCCATTGCTTTGCCCTTCAAGTTTGTGCCCATTAGCAAAGATAAATTTTCTCCTTGGGATCACTGCTGTGTTGATCTCAGGAATATTTGGCATTGAATTTAAATAATATATCTTTCATATGTGTGTACATTAGGGAGGCTGAGAAAGTTGTCTTTTTGTTTAAGGTGTCCATTTCTGGGGGACAGGTAGCAGCCTACTCCACAATCCACACAGAAGCTGGAAATAGCCCCTAGAGAATTTCCACATGTCTAGAAAAGATTAATTTATACATTTGTATCTAATCAACATTTTTTAGCTTACATAATAGTCTATATAATTATGGGTACTGAACTGACATCTGGCATATGCTGTATTTAAAAATGTGAGGTTCAATGAGAACACATGGACCCAGGAAGGGGAACAATGCATACTGGGGCCTGTCAGGGCAGGTGGGGGAGGAGCATCAGAAAAAACAGCTAATGCATGCTGGGTTTAATACTTAGGTGATGGGTTGATAGGTGTACCAAACCACCATGGCACACGTTTACCTATGTAACAATCCTGCACACATACCCTAGAACTTAAAATTTAAAAAATAATAAAAAATAAAAATTTGAAATTCAGAACATAAACTATTGGTTTTATTATTCATATTTTCTTAATTCCAAAATTATTTTCTGAACTATAGTTTATTAGATAATTCTGATGTAACAATTTTCTAAGAGGAAATTTAATTTTTACTTTTTAATTAGGGCTCTTTGTTCTTCTTTTTGAGAAAGCCAGTGACAAATAATTTATACATTTAATTAGAAGAGACTGGGCTTGAATTTTTTAAAAGTACTAGAAATGCTAGCCATTATATATGTTATCTTTGAAATGTTTTAGACACTAATTACCTAAACAAGGAGCAAGTAAGTTAAATCTCTTGGATTTTAATAAGAGCTAAAATGTACAGTTATATTTTCTGGTTTTTTAAATTGTTACAGTCTAAATTTATCCTACAGTCTAAATTTCTAGTGAAGAAATGTATGTGCCATCAATATCAGGTTCTTTGTGGGTACTCACAATTCCCCTTGCCTTTCATGCAGTGAAGGTGGGCAACGTGTGTGGAACAGAAACGATGTTGTTTTCTTTCTTTTGAATCTCACTATGAATCTAATACTTCAAAGATTCCTAACTTTCTGAATGCCATTATTAGTTGGATTCACAATGGCTTACCAGGTACAGAGTTGCCCAGTGTGTCTTGGAGTGAACTATTGAGAGTGGTATGAGGGAAGTGATTCTCAGCCAGCGCTGAGTGGGGTAGACCGCTGCCAAAGAGGTGATGGGGTAAGCAGCACACACAATGTAGCATTTTCACTGCAAACGGGAGGTTTGTGCTGGCTGTCCTCCTGTGGCAGGTCTGCTCGCAGGGGAGGCTCCAAAGTTTGGCTTTGCTGGGTTTGACATGTGAGAACTGATGAAATATCTGTATGTAGTATCTTTCAAGGATTTATATTGGTTGGATTTCTGTGTAAATTTTCATATCCCTTTGACTGCTTTACACCATACAAGCTTTGTATGCTTAACAAAATCTATAACTTTTCTGTCGCTTTCTCATTTAGTATCTGCCTTTCTGGCCTTTTACTTTTTATTATTGTTTTTAGTTTAATGAGATTATGGTTAGAGAGAAAGATGTATGCATGATTCCACTTCTTTGGAATTTGTTGAGATTTTCCTTATGGCTCAGTACGTATATACTTGGGCGGGTGGTGAGTTCTGTCACTTTGGAGAGATGTTTTTTCTACACATTAGGTCAAGCTTGTTAATTTTCTAGGCAGATATAGATCTTCTAGGTCTATGCTGATTGTTTTTGTCTGTTTTATCAGATACTGAGATATGTGTTTAAATTGCCCTCTTAGGGTTGCAATTTTGTCATATTTTGCTTTCATGTATTTTGACTGCTAGTTATTAGATACATTAAAATTTTAGATTGCCTTTTCCCTTGGTTTATTATAATTTTCATCATCATATTGTGACCTTAAAAATCTCCCATATTGCTTTTTGCCCAAAGCCTATTTTATCTGATAATAATATAGCTAACCACACTTCTTTGGATTAGGTACATATGACGTGTATCTTTTTTCATTCTCTTTCAGTCTTTCTATAACTTTATGTTTTAGATGTCTTTTCATACTGTTTATTTTCTAATTCTGTCCTTTTTTTTTTTTTTTTTTGAGATGGAGTCTTGTTCTGTTGCCCAGGCTGGAGTGTAGTGGTGTGATCTCAACTCACTGCAACCTCTGCCTCCCAGGTTCAAGCGATTCTCCTGCCTCAGCCTCCCGAGTAGCTGGAATTACAGGCATGCACCACCACGCCCGACTAATTTTTGTATTTTTAGCAGAGACATGGTTTCACCATTTTCATCAGACTGTTCTTGAACTCCTGACCTCATGATCCGCCTGCCTTGGCCTCCCAAAGTGCTGGGATTACAGGCGTGAGCCACATGCCTACCCTAATTCTGTTTTATAGTCATTTTCTCTTAACTATTCAGTCCATTTACATTTATTATGATTGTTGGCACAGTTTCATTTATAACTTTCATCATATTTTGTGCTATTTGTTCCATCTGTTTTGTATTTCTTCGTGTCTTTTTTGTTTCTTTTTTTCCTAATTCCTTTCATATTCATGGTTATTCTATTGCTCTTGAAATACATATTTTATGTGAATACATTTGTGAATTGACAATACTTTATTAACAATGAAATATACGATTTCACTTTTTTTTACTACAGTTGTTGCTGCTAAGAAATTAGCTGTCAGAGCAACTGTGCTTCTTGAAGGCAATACTCTGTAAATCAAGTGAGGACCTGCTTATGCTTTTAGCTTCTTGTGGGATTTCCCTCCTGCAACCTGCACTCCCAGCTGCAAATACGTCCTCAATGCCCTCCTCAGATCAGTGGGGTAGCAGGGAGATGGGGGAAGTTATTGTTCACATCTTTTATACTTAGTTGTAGGCACTGGGGGCTCCTACCTTAAATTGGGTCTGGATAAGGGATTCTTCACTTGACTATTTTTATTTTTAAAAACCAACTGGACCTACACATAGCACCACACACCAAAGATAATTACAAATAGATTAAAACTCTAAATGGGAAAAGAAAAAATAAGACTTTCAGAACAAAATGTAATAGACTCTCTTAGTGATGTTGGAGGAGAGAAGCATTTCATAAGATACAAAAAGCACAAATCATAAAGGAATAGATAAACTGAGCTACACAGAGCATGGTGGCATGCATAACTACAATCCCAGCTACTTGGGAGGCTGAGACAGAAGGATTGCTTGAGCCCAGGAGTTCAAGACCAGCCTGGGCAACATAGCAAGATTGTATGTGTATACACACATACAGACACACACACACAGAGTCTTATATATACATATTATATATTATATATAAAGTGGCTACATTAAAATTAAGAACTCCTGCCTATCAATAGACACTGTAAAGAAAATGAATAAATGCACATGCACATGAATACACACATACTCACACACACACATATTACAGCAAAGCAAACAGGACAAAATGTTTACTGTTTAATCTAGGTGATGGAAACAAAGGTGATTATTACAGCTTTCTTTTCTTTTCTAATCTTTGAAACATTTTATAATAATAGGTTGTAGAGGATTCAGAGTTCCTACGAAGCAATAGGAAAAAAACAAGTTTAAGACTTCACAAGCACTTTTCAAAACAGGAAGCCCAAAACACGAGGTAAATAGAAAAAGATGGTCATCCTCATTAGTAATCAGAGAAATACATGTTAAAACTACTATAAGAAACCATGGCTGGGTGCAGTGGCTGGCGCCTGTAATCCCAACTCTGGGAGGCCGAGGGAGGTGGATTCCTAGAGCCTATGAGTTCAAGACTAGCCTGGGCGACATGGTGAAACTCTGTCTCTACAAATACAAAAATTAGCCAGGCATAGTAGTATGCATGTGTAGTCCCAGCTACTTGGGAGGCTGAGGCAGGAGGATCACTTGATCCCAGAGGCGGAGGTTGCAGGGAGCCAGGATGACAGAGTGAAATCCTCTCTCAAAAAATAAAAAATAAACCACTTTAATGCCCACCAGATTGACAAAAATTTTAAGTTTGCCTATGTCAAATGTTTGCGAAGATATGGGTTAATAAGTACTTCCATACCCTGCTGGTGGGAGTATAAATTGATACACACACATGCGCACACACAGAGCCCAGAAATAAGTAGACCAACAGAACCAAATAGAGCCCAAAAAGAGACATGTCAACTGATGTGACAGAGGTGACACTGCAGAGCAGGGGAGAGAAGACACACTTTCACTCAGTGATGTGGGGAAACTGTGTGTGTGTGTGTGTGTGTGTGTACTCACGCATGTGCAATGAGGCATATTTCAACAACACCCTACACAGTGGTCCAAATGAACTATAGTTTACACAATCAGCATGTAAACTAATCTAGCTTTAAAAGCAAAAGAATTAAGTCTCAAAAGAATGTGGCGCCATTCCATTTACATAGAGTTCAGCATTAAGAACTGATCAATTCACTGTTTAGCTAAATAATATTTCATGGTATATATATGCCACATTTTCTGTATTCATTCATCCACTGATGGACACCTAGGTTGATTCCATATCTTAGCTAAGAGATTAACAACCGGAATATGTGGACAAAGAAAATGTAGTACATATACATCATAAAAGAACTATGCAGCCATAAAAAATTATAAAATCATGTTCTTTGCAACAACATGGATGCAGCTGGAAGCCATTATCCTAAACAAATTAAAGCAGGTACAGAAAACCAAATACCATGTGTTCTCACTTATAAGTGAGAACTAACATTGGGTACACATGGACAGAAAGAAGGAAACAACAGACACTGGAGACTTCTAGAGGGGAGAAGGTGGACAGGGAATAAGGGCTGAAAAACTACCTACTGGATACTATGCTCACTACCTGGGTGACAGGATCAGTCATAACCCCAAACCACAGCATATACCCATGTAACAAACCTGCACATGTACCCCCTAAATCTAAAATAAAAGTTGAAATTTTAAGAAATAACCAGAATATATAAGGACTTCAACTCAAGAGCAAAAAAACCAAATAACCCAATTTGAAAATGGACAAAAGATCTGAATAGACATTTCTCAAAAGAAGACATAAAAATTGCTAGCAGGTACATGACCAAAGACCCAACAACACTAATCATCAGGGAAATGCAAATCAAAACCGCAATAAGATACCATCTCACCCCAATTAAAATGGCGATTATCAAAAAGACAACAGATGATGGCAAGGATGTGAAGAAAGGACAACTCTTCCATACCGTTGGTGGGAATGTAAATTAGTAAAGCCATTATAGAAAACAGTAAGGAGTTTCCTCAAAAAAAAAAAAAAAAAACTAACTAAAAATAGAGCTACCATATGATCCAGCAGTCCCACTGCTGGGTATATATGCTAAAGAAAGAAAACCAGTATATCAAAGAGACAACTGCACTCCTGTATTCCCATCTTTATCACAGCACTATTCACAATAATGACTTTTACACTGTCAACAGGATCCCTAAAAGCCTTCTCTCTCCCTTGAGTTCCTATATTTTGTTCTTTTGCATTTATGTGTTTGACACATTCCACTTTATATTTTTATTTTCACTCCCACAATAGGTGAGGTCTGTGTGTGAATAGGAATTTTTTCATCTGTGTGCCTCTAAGTGCACCTAGCTTGAAGCTCTGAATGTTAAACCCAAACACGTCTTTTGATGATAGCTGAGAATGACTTAATTCTCATATTATTGACAAAGTACAATTGATAATATACATCATATCCCATAATGACAAATGACTAGGTATTCAAACCTACAGGCTGGGAAGAGTTCAAACTTTTCTTCTGGATCACAGGGGAAAACCTCAGGGAGTTTTTCTACACTTGGAACATGATTCTGTTACCATATAAAGTAGGAAGCAATGAACTCAAAAGAAAGATGTTTATCCTGATATATCTTTCTCATTCCTGAAGGAATGTTTTCACCCTATGGCTTTGCCTTGGGTGAAACAATGTCAAATGATTTAACGCAAATGGAAAATGCCAACCTTTTAGGTTGGTTTCTAAATCCTTTACATAGTTACACGTGGGAGCTACATATAGATGAGCTGGTTGGTTGGCCAGCTGGCTGGCTTTCAGCCATTAACAATTGCTTAAGAAATGATGTGAATAAACTGAAAAATCACATCACGTAATAAATACTACTTAATATTAAAAGCAATGGATACTAGAAGCTTCCCTGTCTCTAAACCTCAAAATGGCAATCTGACAAGATAATCATGGGTTGTCTCAGGCTCACAGAAAATTCGCTGCATACACCTTGCTTACTAAACTAGTGTATCAATAATTTTAAAGGGGGAGTGCGGAGGGTAATTAAGAATATGCTATTGAATGTTAGTTACATTGTTTATATAAGCTATCATTCCTTTAAAAAGCAAGACATTTAAACAAGTGAATGAGAAAGCTAGATCATTTTTACACTTGCTCCACTGTAGGTCACTTGCTCATGGTAGGTTGTCGGGATTATTTAAATTCAGGAGCAATACTTGGTTGACAAGCTCCTGCACTGCTGCAGGCTACAATCCTCATACAGTGCCTGAAGGGTTATTACAATTGCCAGCATCTACAGAGGACAACAAAGGAGCCTTACCCCTTCCCGAAGGCACCTCATTAGCACTGTGTATGCAGCCAAGGGAACAGCCCAGCACTCTCTAGGGTTCTTTTTTTTTTCTTCCTAAAATGAAGTGGGAAAAAAAAAGGCAGTGAAGCTAACAGCACGAAAGATATTAACCCATTCAAGCAAATGGCACAGCTCCAAGTATACAAACTATCTAAAACTTAATAGTCTATTTAAAGTATTACTTACTATCTGATGATAACGACTAGATCAAGGATCTTTTACTGCATTGTACATACAAGATATTTATTCTATTTCTCATTGCATTATATATGATGTGGGTAAGATCCCCTCATTAGAAGGTAGATTTAAAATATTGAGAAATGACAATATGATCCAATATGATCTGACAGATAAATCAATCTAATGATAATTGTAGATGATAATACAGATACAACTATCTGAAAAGTATTACATTATCTGGAATGATTTGAAAGCATAGAAAACACAAGTTTGAGTAATATCTCAGGATAATTCACAAGCACAAGTAAAAGGTATTATGTTACCTAGTAAGACAAGGAACTAAATAAAATGAGCAAATAAGCGGGTACACTGATTTTAATGACATGAGCAATAATTCTCTCCCAGAAGATTAACCAAATTAGTGTAATAACCACAAGCACACTCCTGCAACCTATCAAATACAATCAGAAAATAAATCAGGTACCACACAGAAAGATGAAAAAAACTAATTTTTTAAAGCAGAAAAAATTAGGTTCTACTTACGGAACATACTCAAGATTGTCCAAATGACAGAATTAGTACATTATTAATTTACTTCAGCTACTATGAAAAATAGTTTGGAGATATCTCAAAGAACTAAAAACAGAACTACCATTTGAACCAGCAATCCCATTACTGGTTATATACCCAAAGGAAAATACATCATTCTACCAAAAACACACACACACTCATATATTCATCGTAGCACTATTCACAAGAGCAAAAACATGGAATCAACTTAGGTGCCCATCAACAGTGAAGTGGATAAAGAAAATGTAGTATATATCCACCACGAAATACTACTGCAGCAACACGGATGCAGCTGGAGGCCATTATCCTAAGCAAATTGAAGCAAGAACAGAAAATCAAATACCACGTGTTCTCACTTGTGAGAACTAAACATGAATACACACAGACAGAAGATAGGAACAAAAGACACTAGAGACTACAACAAGTGGGGAGGGTGGGACAGGAGTAAGGGCTGAAAAACTGCATATTGACTACTATGTTCACTACCTGGGAGGTAGGATCAGTTGTACCCCAAACCGCAGCATCATCCAATCTATTCATGTAACAAACCTACACATGTACACCCTGAATCTAAAATAAAGTTGAAATTTTAAAAAAAGAATTAGTACATTACTAATCCAAAAGTATTTTACACCCATGAGAAGAATCATGACCCATTAAAACCATTCCCTTACTTGATTATAGAATTCCACATATGGTTATACCCTGGACATTATGATCAGGAGCTGCTCCAACTCAAAAATCACTAATTCACACTAAATTTAACTTGCAAACACAACTTTCTTTCCTTCCCTTATTCTTCCCTTATTTAAAATGCCCACCACAACCCTTAACATCAGTGGACTCTGTGCCCTCTCCCTTGGCCCTTCTTTCCCTCAACAGATCACCTACTTCACTCCCAGCCACTTAGAATCCCGTACCCATCATTTAATCACTCCTGCCCAAAACCTAAACTATCAGTCTCTTTAGTTGTCCCTTTACTCTTGTTTGGGAAACCTCAACCTCTGAGAAAGCCAGCTGCTTGTTTTCTCTAAGTCTGCTCTCAGACAACTGGGCCCTTAGAGAAGGTGGCACCAGAGAGCACAGAGTCCATTACTTACTTGGGATCAGCATCCTCAGGGGACCTTCAACATCCATCTCCAGACCTACTATTTCTCTTATCACCACCCTCCCTGAAAAGGCTATTTTAAAGCTATGACGCTCCCACCACTTCACCTACTCTCCTCCTTCACAGATAAAGAGAATGGAAGTTCTGAGAAAGGAAAGACAAACTTTCCTCCACATAAAGCCATCTGCTACTTCTGCCCAATGGTTATAACAGGACAGGTTCCTCCATTCCTGTCCCTCCACTTGGGCTCAGGATCCCATCCCCATCCTCCCTTCTTCAGGGTCATTAGCTAATGGACTATCCCTTATTGCTCCTAAATTTTCAACATCTTATCCCCTCTGGGTCTTTCCTGTTTCCACCTGAATAGGGTCACGGTATCTCATTTTGAAAACAAGACCCTCCTCATCCCTTGGCCCCTTTTCACAACTATCCTCACTTTACACTGACTTTCTCAGTTTCCTCACCTTCCACTAACTCCTCGCCCACTCCAATATGACGACTTCTATCTCCCTCATAACAGGAAAAATAAATAAATATATAAAAAGCTCTTGCTGAGTTACCAGTGACTTTCATGTCATTAAATCCAACAGATCCCTCTTAGTCCTTTAAATTGGGCCTTAAACTACATTCAGCCCTACTGACTTTCCCTTTCCTGAAATACCCACTTCTCTCTCCTAATTTTGCTCCTGCGTTGCTTACTCTCATCCAGGCTCTCAGAATCCTGTTTTCAGTCTCCACTCTACTCTCCACATTTAAACCAGAATTATCTTTTTGGCATGCAAATCAGCTGACATAATTACCCTCTTAAAACTCTTTAATGAGTTCCCCTTGCTCTTCGGATCAAGACCAAGACATCGGACTGGTGAGGAGCCCTTCATGATCATGTCCCTGCCAGTCTCTCCAACCCTGCCTCCTTCCTCACTTCTCTCCTGTCCCACTGGCCTTGGTGCAGTTCATGCATGAAAAAAGCACCTACGGTGCACCAGAAACTCTTCTTAATAACGGCCGTAATCCATAATGAGGCAAATACATTTTCTTCCTTAATAGTGCTTAGTGGAAGACTGAGATTTTTTTTGTTTCATTTTGTTTTTCTTGTTTTTTGTCGTTCGTTTCGTTTTGTTTTTGATACCAAGTTTCGCTCTTGTTGCCCAGGCTGGAGTGCAGTGGCATGATCTCAGCTCACTGCAACCACCACCTCCTAAGTTCAAGTAATTTTCCTGCCTCAACCTCCCAAGTAGCTGGGATTACAGGCCTGAGCCACCACACCCGGCTAATTTTTTGTAGTTTTAGTAGAGACAGCATTTCGCCATGTTGGCCAGGCTCGTCTCAAACTCCTGAGCTCAGGTGATCCACCCGCCTCAGCCTCCCAAAGTGCTGGGATTACAAGCATAAGCCACCATGCCGGGCTGAGATTTTTTTTTTTTTTTTTTTGAGACAGTCTCGCTCTGTCACCCAGGCTGGAGTGCAGTGGCAACATCTTGGCTCACTGCAAGCTCCGCCTCCCAGGTTCACGCCATTCTCCTGCCTCAGCCTCCCAAGTAGCTGGGACTACAGGCGCCCACCACCACACCCGGCTAATTTTTTTGTATTTTTAGAAGAGACCGGTTTTCACCATGTTAGCCAGGATGGTCTCGATCTCTTGACCTCATGATCCACCTGCCTCAGCCTCCCAAAGTGCTGGGATTATAGGCATGAGCCACCACGCCCGGCCGAGATTTTTTTTTTAAAGAAGTAAACAAAGTAAGTCAGTCAAGATAATGATGAGTGCTATAAAGAAAAACAGCAGAGTAAGAGGTTGCAGAAAGACTGTAGACAGGCTGGCTCCATCTCAGATCACTCAGAGACAGGGAAAGGCTTTCTGAAGGGATTTTTGAGCACACAGAAAATACAAACAACTCAGAAGAAAATATTAGAAGCAGGAGAAACAGCAAATGTCAATATAGTGAGGCAGAAGCATGGCATAGTGGGTTTAAGGAACTGTGGGGAGGTCAGTATAGCTGGAAGGAGTGAGTAGGAAGATAGTGAGGAATTAGGTCAGACAGGTTCTGAAGAGCCAGCCCAAAAGGGCCCAGAAGGTAATTACAGAGACTTTGGCTGTGACAATGAAGAAAGAAATTATGGGATAAAACAAAAAAGACAAAATAAGAATACCTGAACTCAGGGTGATAGGTATCCTTGACAAAATCAAGAAAAACACAAAAACTGAAAATGTGTTGCCTTATAATACCCTCTGCAGAATCACACTCTGGTCTTCTGTCTGTAAGCCTGAAACCTTAGGGTGTTACTAGAGAGCCAACAAGACTCAGGTTGTTGTATTATGTATACTATATATAATCACTTCAGCTCAGTACCAACAGGTTAGCACTGACCTGAGATTTTAATGTTTATTGTACTCAAACTGACAATTCCACAAAGCCCTCATGTCCTGAAAAGTTATTTATTTTTGTAGACTCAGGGACTTAACTTCCTTTTCCAGTTTGCTATCACGAGATGTAGTTAAATGTCATGGCCACATTATCATCCCTTTATTCAAATAGCCTAGCTTGTATTCAGTTAAAGTATATACCAAGGGCTGGGCATGGTGGCTCACGCCTATAATCTCAATACTTTGGAAGACTGAGGCAGGCAGATCACTTGAGGTCAGGAGTTCAAGACCAGTCTGGCCAATGTGGCGAAACACCATTTCTACTAAAAATACAAAAATTAGCCAGGTGTGGTGGTGTACACTTGAAGTCCAAGCTACTCAGGAGGCTGAAACAGGAGAATTGCTTGAATCCAGGAGGTGGGGGTTGCAGTGAGCCAAGATTATGTCACTGCATTCCAGCCTGGGTGAGAGAATGAGACTCTATCTTTAAAAAAAAAAAAAAAAAAAGGAGGAGCCAAGATAGCCAAATAGGAACAGCTCCAGTCTACAGCTCCCAGCATGAGCGATGCAGACGATGGGTGATTTCTGCATTTCCAACTGAGGTACCAGGTTCATCTCACTGGGGAGTGTCGGACAGTGGGTGCAGGACAGTGGGTGCAGCACACCGAGCATAAGACAAAGCAGGGTGAGGCATTGCCTCACCGGGGAAGCGCAAGGGGTCAGTGAATTCCCTTCCCTAGTCAAAGAAAGGGGTGACAGACGGCACCTGGAAAATCGGGTCACTCGCACCCTAATACTGCACTTTTCCAATGGTCTTAGCAAACAGCACACCAGGAGATTATATCCCACGCCTGGCTCGGAGGGTCCTACGCCCATGAAGCCTCGCTCATTGCTAGCACAGCAGTCTGAGATCAAACTGCAAGGCAGCAGCGATGCTGGGGGAGGGGTGCCTACCATTGCCGAGGCTTGAGTAGGTAAACAAAGCAGCCAGGAAGCTCGAACTGGGTGGAGCCCACCGCAGTTCAAGGAGGCCTGCCTGCCTCTGTAGACTCCACCTCTGGGGGCAGGGCATAGCCAAACAAAAGGCAGGAGAAACCTCTACAGACTTAAATGTCCCTGTCTGCCAGCTTTGAAGAGAGTAGTGGTTCTCCCAGCACACAGCTGGAGATCTGAGAACGGACAGACTGCCTCCTCAAGTGGGTCCCTGACCCCCGAATAGACTAACTGGGAGGCACCCCCAGTAGGGGCAGACTGACACCTCACAGGGCTGGGTACTCCTCTGAGACAAAACTTCCAGAGGAACAATCGGGCAGCAACATTTGCTGTTCACCAATATCCGCTGTTCTGCAGCCTCCGCTGCTGATACCCAGGTGAACAGGGTCTGGAGTGGACCTCCAGCAAACTCCAACAGACCTGCAGCTGAGGGTCCTGTCTGTTAGAAGGAAAACTAACAAACAGAAGGGACATCCACACCAAAACCCCATCTGTACATCACCATCATCAAAGACCAAAGGTAGATAAAACCACAAAGATGGAAAAAACAGAGCAGAAAAACTGGAAACTCTAAAAATCAGAGCACCTCTCCTCCTCCAAAGGAATGCAGCTCCTCACCAGCAACGGAACAAAGCTGGATGGAGAATGCCTTTGACGAGTTGAGAGAAGAAGGCTTCAGATGATCAAACTACTCTAAGCTAAATGAGGAAGTTCGAACCTATGGCAAAGAAGTTAAAAACCTTGAAAAAAAATTAGACAAATGGCTAACCAGAATAACCAATGCAGAGAAGTCCTTAAAGGACCTGATGGAGCTGAAAACCATGGCACAAGAACTACGTGACAAAGGCGCAAGCCTCGGTAGCCAATTCGATCAACTGGAAGAAAGGGTATCAGTGATGGAAGATCAAATGAATGAAATGAAGCAAGAAGAGAAGTTTAAACAAAAAATAAAAAGAAATGAAAAAAGCCTCCAAGAAATACGGGACTATGTGAAAAGGCCAAATCTACGTCTGATTGGTGTACCTGAAAGTGACAGGGAGAATGGAACCAAGCTGGAAAACACTCTGCAGGATATTATCCAGGAGAATTTCCCCAATCTAGCAAGGCAGGCCAACATTCAAATTCAGGAAATACAGAGAACGCCACAAAAATGCTTCTCAAGAAGAGCAACTCCAAGACACATAATTGTCAGATTCATGAAAGTTGAAATGAAGAACAAAATGTTAAGGGCAGCCAGAGAGAAAGGTCGGGTTACCCACAAAGGGAAGCCCATCAGACTAACAGCGGATCTCTTCGCAAAAACTCTACAAGCCAGAAGAGAGTGGGGACCAATATTCAACATTCTTAAAGAAAAGAATTTTCAACCCAGAATTTCATATCCAGCCAAACTAAGCTTCGTAAGTGAAGGAGAAATAAAATACTTTACAGACAAACAAATTTTGACAGATTTTGACACCACCAGGCCTGCCCTACAAGAGCTCCTGAAGGAAGCACTAAACATGGAAAGACCAACCAGTACCAGCCACTGCAAAAACATGCCAAATTGTAAAGACGATGGAGGCTAGGAAGAAACTGAATCAACTAACGAGCAAAATAACCAGCTAACATCATAATGACAGGATCAAATTCACACATAACAATATTAACCTTAAATGTAAATGGGCTAAATGCTCCAATTAGAAGACACAGACTGGCAAACTGGATCAAGAGTCAAGACCCATCAGGGTGCTGTATTCAGGAAACCCATCTCATGTGCAGAGACACACATAAGCTCAAAATAAAGGGATGGAGGAAGATCTACAAAGCAAATGGAAAACAAAAAAAGGCAGGGGTTGCAATCCTAGTCTCTGATAAAACAGACTTTAAACCAACAAAGATCAAAAGAGACAAAGAAGGCCATTATATACTGGTAAAGGGATCAATTCAACAAGAAGAGCTAACTATCCTAAATACATATGCACCCAATACAGGAGCACCCAGATTCATAAAGCAAGTCCTTAGAGACCTACAAAGAGACTTAGACTCCCACACAATAATAATAGGAGACTTTAACACCCCACTGTCAACATTAGACAGATCAACGAGACAGAAAGTTAACAAGGATATCCAGGAATTGAACACAGCTATGCACCAAGCGGACCTAATAGACATCTACAGAACTCTCCACCCCAAATCAACAGAATATACATTTTTTTCAGCACCACAACACACCTATTCCAAAAGTGACCACATAGTTGGAAGTAAAGCTCTCCTCAGCAAATGTAAAAGAACAGAAATTACAACAAACTGTCTCTCAGACCACAGTGCAATCAAACTAGAACTCAGGATTAAGAAACTCACTGAAAACCGCTCCACTACATGGAAACTGAACAACCTGCTCCTGAATGACTACTGGGTACATAACGAAACAAAGGCAGAAATAAAGATGTTCTTTGAAACCAACGAGAACAAAGACACAACATACCAGAATACCTGGGACACATTCAAAGCAGTGTGTAGGGGGAAATTTATAGCACTAAATGCCCACAAGAGAAAGCAGGAAAGATCTAAAATTGACACCTTAACATCACAATTAAAAGAACTAGAGAAGCAAGAGCAAACACATTCAACAGCTAGCAGAAGGCAAGAAATAACTAAGATCAGAGCAGAACTGAAGGAGACAGAGACACAAAAAACCCTTCAAAACAATCAGTGAATCCAGGAGCTGGTTTTTTGAAAAGATCAACAAAATTGATAGACCACTAGCAAGACTATCAGACAACAATCAAATAGACGCAATAAAAAATGACAAAGGGGATATCACCACCGATCCCACAGAAATACAAACTACCATCAGAGAATACTACAAACACCTCTATGCAAATAAACTAGAAAATCTAGAATAAATGGATAAATTCCTCGACATATACACCCTCCCAAGACTAAACCAGGAAGAAGTTGAATCTCTGAATAGACCAATAACAGGATCTGAAATTGAGGCAATAATTAATAGCTTACCAACCAAAAAAAGTTCAGGACTAGATGGATTCACAGCCAAAATCTACCAGAGGTACAAGGAGGAGCTGGTACCATTCCTTCTGAAACTATTCCAATCAATAGAAAAAGAGGGAATCCTCCCTAACTCATTTTATGAGGCCAGCATCATCCTGATACCAAAGCCTGGCAGAGACACAACCAAAAAAGAGAATTTTAGACCAATATCCCCGATGAACACTGATGCAAAAATCCCCAATAAAATACGGGCAAACCAAATCCAGCAGCACATCAAAAAGCTTATCCACCATGATCAAGTGGGCTTCATCCCTGGGATGCAACGCTGGTTCAACATACACAACTCAATCAACATAATCCAGCATATAAACAGAACCAAAGACAAAAACCACATGATTATCTCAATAGATGCAGAAAAGGCCTTTGACAAAATTCAACAGCCCTTCATGCTAAAAACTCTCAAAAATTAGGTACTGATGAGACCTATCTCAAAATAATAAGAGCTATCTATGACAAACCCAC